>NC_000006.12:65337654-65640685 GCF_000001405.40 Homo sapiens
TTGACTTGGCTATAAAGCTATATTTTCTAGCTTATAAGCCGTATTCAAAATTTGTTAATTTTTAAAATATTCTTTATGGAAAAATGCCTAATGTATTATTTCTGCACCTTATATATAATTAGAAAATATGAAACACCAAAACTTCAAACTACCCATTGTATTTTTAATTATTATATATTTATTACAAAATAATACATAATGAAATCTTGAAAGAGAGCAATATTTTAACAAGGAATATTAGTATGAAATTTGGAAAACACAGACTTACTTCATATAACTATGTGCTTTCCCTTTTATTTTCAAAATAATTATTACTGGGATTTAAGAAAATCTGAAAGAACTAAAGTTGAATAATGAGTTTTTCTCTTGGCTATACCTCAAAAACCACATAACATTTTGTCTAAGGGATGTGATATGAACACCTAAATTATATCTAATGCTCTGGTTGAAATACTTTTATTAAATGGAAAAGATGGTGAATTATTTTATGCTGCAGTTATGTACTATATCTAAAAACTATTGCAAGTAATTTCTAGGACTAAAAAATAATTTTGGATTTCAACATGATTTCTCATCTGTTCAGGTAGTCTAGACATCTACTAGAATTTTGGTTTTCTATAAAATTTACACATAAGAAGTCTCTCAGAAAAATTAGCAAGAGAGTAAATTATATCAGTAGACATATAGAAACTTGAATCTGCCTTGTAAAGCAGAGGAAAGATTTCTCAACTTTGTGTATACAGAGAATCAAAGATCTGCTTAAAGGAGTCCATTAATCTTTAAAAATTTTATACAAAAAATTCTATTAAACATTCTATCAAAACATTACATCAAACATGTTAACAAATTTTGGACTGAATAGGGGTCGGCAACCCTAACTCCTGTATTTCACAGGTCAACTGTATATATATTATGTACATAAAATATATAATTAATTATTAAACTTTGATTGCACAAAAACCTCAATATTACAAAATACACACAAATTAAATTAGAAGTTTTATTCTAGATATTTTAAAATGTTTACTTGATGAAGGAATGCAATAAAATCATGATTTTGGGCAGTGGAAGATCTTTTCTTCCCAAAGGAAACAGAAGTAAAACAAACAGCTGGAAATTCCCTTTTTGATAATTCATTACTAGTAATGTATATACATAACACAATATTATTACCCCAAAGTCACTTCATCTGTAGAGAAATTAACCTTCCTGAAGGATATTTATAACATACTTACAGAAAATGTTCTGCATAGGTAAATAAACAACTCTAGTTAAATAATGCCAGCTATCATTTCAGGGAATATCGTGTAATTTTCTAGAAATAATTTTGTCATATCCACATTATATTAGTACATAGGGTCACTTGGCAAAGGACTCTGTGGGAAAAAATTCTGTAAGATCTAATATATGCCCTTTATCTTGCCATTTTGACCCTTGTTATTAAATAGATAAATAAAGTGACTTCAGAGGTGAAAGTGACTTTTCTTAATCATGATACGTAGAAAGCTGGATCCTTAAAATAATATCTGTCAAGGTAAAAATTGCACCAAAGTTAGATAGGTAATTAAATTTTATTAAAGACTATTGAAATAGGGGAGAGAAACTAAACTCAATTCTCCAAAAATAGAATGCAGGAGAAATTTTAATTGCGAACTTGAACTAATAAAAAATGACAGCAGTCCTCCCTTATTGTTGGTTTCGCTTTCCATGATTTCAGTCACCACGGTTCAAAAATATGTTAGTATGGTTTAGTAAGATATCTTGAAAAAGAGAGACCATAGTCACATAACTTTTATTATAGTATACTGTTATAATTGTTATATTTTTATTAGTAATTGTTGTTAATCTCTTTTTGTGCCTGATTTATAAATTAAACTTCATCATAGGTATGTATGTATAGAAAAAAATACAGTAAATACAGGGTTTGGTACTATTCACAGTTTCAGGCATACACTGGGGTCTTGGAAAGTATCCCTGCAGGTAAGAGGGAAGACTGTTATACTTGATGTCACTGGAGAAGAGTTTGATCAATGAAATGTGTCAAGCAGATTGAGTTATTATTGAGTTTGCAAAGATTTTGCTCTGTGAGTAGGCCTTCTGTAGAGTACACAGGGAAGTAAGAGTACTATTTTCTTTGATGTTTACATTTCAGAGACATGGTTCCAAGGTCCTTGATACAGACATCCCAGGCATCCTTAAACTGGCAAGAGGTTGGAAGAAGATTTATATACATTTCAAAAAGGCAGATAATTTACAACTGCAAATTTTTTAAAGTACATCCTATAAGAAAAAAAGAGTGCAGGGGCCTGTAGGCAATAAGAAACCTGTCTGAAGTTTAGTCAAGGTGAGGGAAAGAGGAAGGTTGTTTTGGCTCTATATTTAGCTAACTAAAAGGGAACAGATTTTAAAAATCATATCTGGATGAATTAAAGTTCAAATTTATACTGGATTAAGACCTAGTCATAAATTCTGAAATAAAATAAACTTGGTAAAAACCTTTCACATCCCAAATTTTAGTGCTCCATGGACTCTTCTACTTTGTTTGAAATTCACCTTCCCTTCCCAGTAACTCATAATAATATATAATTTCATAACATTTTTGTAGCATGGTTGTAGAAAATAAGATAAACTTATTTGTAATTATGTGTTTCCATTCCAGAAGCATTTGCATTTAAAAGGACCTCACTCAGAGAAGGAACACATTTTAATACAAAAAAAATTAAAACAACACTCTTGGAATTTCTGTCTTTGATGATGAAAACTAAAATAAACCTAATTTCCCATCATAAGTTTCAAAATACTGAGAAAAAGCAAGACTAACTTACTATTTACTCTATGAAATACTTGCTTCTGGAACATAAGACTGTGAACCAACTAAAATAAGTTATTTACAAAAACTAACAGTTTGCACATAAAGACTCACTTTAAAGATTCTCAGTATATTGTGCCACCAATACGAAGCTTTCCTTCATAAACTCTAACCAATCCCCACTAAATACCCTCTACAACTGACTCAAGGCTCTACACCAAATAAATAACTTTCCACAACTTCTCCCATCTGATGCACTACTAAGACTCTACTAAGGTGTTGTTTTCCCTTATTGAAAGAAGTCTAAAATAATTAGTTTTTCTCCATCACCAGAATAGTCTGGTGGTCTTTTGGAGGGTAAATAGTGAATAAATCCAAAGTTTCACAAAATCTCATTAAAATGCCCTCACTCTCAAGGCTGGATAGCAACCAATGCACTACGCTGAGACCACTGGATATTCTCTCCAACTGTGAAAGTGACATAGGTACAGTATCAAGTCTAAACTCCAATATTTTTCATCAACTTCACAAATGTCATGTTTCTGTTGTTTCTTAAGAATAAAAAAAATTCGAATATATACAAATAGGAAAACTCTCCGTCTTCATCACTTTTTCAGGTGAGTCTATAAGAGGAAGCTCAGCTGGGAGAGGAAAGCGTGGGTTCTATAAGTACATCATTCAAGTGTTCTAAATAAGCGATGAGTTCAGATGATCACATCACTCTGGTGTTCCTTTGGGCAACATTTTTATTGTCACCTTTTAAAAAATCTTCTAAACAGTCTTAGTTGATTTGAAATTGATTGATCTTTTGAATTTTCTGGAGACATGATATTGTACAAATGCTTGCTGACATAAGTTTTCACGGGTTCTTCTCAGTCTTTTATACCTGGACACCACACATTCCTCCCCTCATATTGTAAGCCATATACATATCTCTCTAATTGGCATAATTTCTCAAAGGACAATGTGAAATTGCAGTGACCACCCTGGGGAAATTTTGACATGAACAAGATTATTTATTTGACAGATCTAATAGAACAAAAAGGGAAAAATCCTCATGAGGAGATTCTCTGTCCTGTATATCTAATAGAGAGATTACTGTGTATTATACAAAACCTTCTCTTTCATTTTCATGCTTCTGGGATTAAGAAGCACTAGATTTTTAATTATATGGCTCTGTGGAATTGTCAAGTATGTGAGTTGTTTAAACTGTCTATAATAATTTGTTCTTATGTGTTTGAAAATAGGTTTTTCTTCATTTAAGCATCTCCAATGCTGTGCAGAAGGGAGATAATCAAACTTTGCAATCATAATTTTACATCTACCAGAATCTAGATAAACTTCATTTATTCATTTTTCACTTTTTCTCCTTTTCTGTTTTGCTTAGAAAAAATAGAAATTAATTGATCATAAATATTTTTATAACATTCTATATTGCCATTCTAGGATGATTTTTCAGATAGTCGACATTTTACAATGAAAGGAAACGATTAACTGTGCTTTATTTACATGATTTCTCTTCCCAAATTTTAACAAATCAGGAAAAGCATTCATGTGTATGGGTAATATTGTTAGTCTTTTAGTTGAGAAAAACATTGGGCTCCACAGAGCTTTGGCTTAATCCTAAAGTTCTGATTTTTCAAAATACATAAATACTGAGGTTTGCTCATTTATATTAGTACATATGTATTTATTTATTCTAAAGAGGCTTATTTATTTAAAAAGGACTCATGTAATTTTTAAATAAATGACACTTCAGAAAAATTAGCCTGATTTAATTTAACTTTAAGAGAAATATTCTATAATTATGTCCTCAAATTGTCTGATTACACAATCTAAAATTGATATAATCGAAATTTTAATAACAGATATAATTTAAAAGGGTTGAATCTTGTGAATTCTTACTAATTTTACTACACTGATGTATTAGAATGTTTTATTGATGATACTACAAATCATAAGAACTTAAAATGATTGTGTAAGTTTACAATTTCTAAATATTTAGTCAACATTAAGAACTTACACAGATATTTAATCAAATTAGTCAAATTATTTTGGATGCCTGAACAATTAATCAAATTAATCAAATTATTTTGGTTGCCTGAACAATTCCTAATTAAGAAAATTATAAAAATATAGTCTCTAAATATAGATTTAAATTACCTCTGTCCTTATAGAATGGAAATAAGGTGTGCAAATACAGTTGAAGGATGTGTATTTATATTTATTTTGCCTATGATAAAAGTTGTTAAAGTTATATAAAATGTGTAATCATAAAGTAATAAAATAGCCAAAATGATCTTAGATTGCTATATTTGCGTATTTTCTTGAGTCTAAAGAAATTGTCTAATTTAATTAAAGTTGGTGATTTATATTATAAAAGGATACTGAGAACTAGAAATACATAAACAAAACAACAAATATGATTTGCTTGTTCCTGACAAAGGTTTACAGTTACTGAATTATTAAGTGTATTATAATATGTAACTATTTTTAATATACTGATAAAGCTAAAAGTCTTAAAGATAAAGCTGTAATGTAATCATCTATGTGTATAGTGATGTATATGTGATTGGCAAAATATATATATATGTAAGAACGTATTAAGCTTACTTCATATATTTATGACTTGTAAACATATATCAAAATATATTTTAGGGCATACTTTTAGATGTTCTGTGGTATTTGAAGTCTTTTTGCCTGTAGTTGTAATGCCTCTAGATGAATTTGAAGGAAATAGTGACTTGTATCAGTTTTTACAAGGTTGACTCAATATAAATTGATACATTAATAAAGAAAAGGGCTTATGAGTCTTTACTGAAATGTATACAATATGCAGAATTAAAACATGGCTTTCTTAAAATGACCAAATTAGGATGTATCAAGACAAGATAGGTTACAAATACTTTGTTAATTATCTTTTGGGAAAATTCTTGAATCATTTTAACAAAAAGTTCCTATTCCTAAGTTGTTTAAAATGAAGATTCTTAAATTTTTCTTAATTATTGTTACATATTAAAAAATATAATCTTAATTTGTATAAGACAGTGGTGAGGGGATAAAAGGAGGGCCTCTCTTTTATTCTTGCCATAGGCCTCACAATTTTTAGTGATGGAACTGCCTAGAGATTAGAAATTATTTTCATTTATTTTTATTTATTTTATTTTTTAAGTAGCTTGCTCGTGTAAGAGATTAGAAATCTCTCAGAGATTTAAACATATCCAAAAGACAAATGCATTTCATTATGATCTGTAAGCAAAAAAAGTGGCATAATCACAACTGTATCTGAGAGGCTTTAGTCAGCCTGCAAATTATAACATTAATAAAAAACAAGAAGACTAGGAACAAAATGATTCTTCAAAATTTTTACTTTCCCATATTATAAATGTATGACGTAAATATAAATTTCCAAGTAGACTGTTGAGAATTTGTTTACGAAGTTATATTTAAACTATGCAAACTATATATTTTGAATATTTAAGAATCTGTAACCTAAACATTTCTAACTTTCTAAAAATCAGACAATTACAAGCTAAAGAGAAAAATGAAAAGCAACTACATAAAATTACCTTACCTCTTTTGTGCCTTCATGTGGGAACCAACATGAAGAATTATTATCTTCAGGATCGTTCACATAGGTTGCATCTTCAGTGCAGTTTGCAGCCAGAAAGAAATAGGCATCAATAACCCCTTGGCACTTTTCGCCTTCAGATCCTTTAAAAAAAAAGAGATAAAAAATTAAATAAACTCTTACAAACTTGAATTCAGAATGAATTATTAAGGACTGTGGTCAAATTACTTGAAAAGATAAATTTGACAACATCTGCCACAAAATAAGTTCCTGTATGCATATGATATTGAATTTGAAGAAGACCTCAAAGCCCAACACTCTCATTTTAAACATGAACTGAGAAATACAGCATCACAAGAAGAAGAAGAGACAGCTCCCAGGCCAATTCATTTTTTAAAATAATCAAATTTTGACTAAACTGTAATTAATAATTATAAGAAAGGATGGTAGAACGATAAAAAGAACACTGTCCTATAACAAAAATAAAAGCAGAGATTGCAAAAGAGCAGAAGAAAGAAGTGACCTATATTCAAGAGAATGTGACCTATATTCAAGAGGAAAACTAAAATTTTAAGGCCCAGACCTAGAATTCTCAGACAAGGACTTTAAAATGATTATATTAAACTTTCTGAAAAATCAACAGGAAAAGATGAATAAAATAGATAATTAGATAAGGAATTAGGGGATGAGAGATTTTGAAATTGTAGGAAAAACCAAACAAAAAAATGGTAAATCTCAGAATTGTAGGGAAAAAGGAGTTAATTAAACTGGGCTGAAAACCCATTATTGGTCATTAATAGTGGTAATAAAAGAACATAGAAGACCTGATCCAATCTTTTTGTAAACATGACTACATCTCCTAGTAAACAAACAAAAAATATTTGTCAGAGGACAGTATTTATCTAAAGAATCTTTTAGCAAAATATCTCTGGCTTTGGATTGCTTATAGTAAACAAATCTAAACTCTAGGGACTCGCAAGGCATCATTTCTTGGAAAATAGAATGTAAGCTATGCATTTTACAACTGAGTTGTAAATTAGAAATGATTCATAAACTGACATCTCCCTACCGTGTGAATATTTCACCAAGAAATCTCACATATTACTGGAAAAAAAGAAGGAGCTAGGAACCAAGCACAATATCCCAAATCTCTTCAATCATATGTATGTAATTTGACTGTTTATAAATTTAAGATTACAGAAAATTATGGCTATGTTAATAAAACAATTAATGGATGAGATTATCAGATCAAACACAAGAGAAGAAAAGATCAGTAAATTTAATGATAGGTCAATAAAAATTCTACCTGTAACATTCTGAGAGTAATTAACTCAAACAGGATTATGCTAGCTCCATATAATTAATTGATATGTGTTCCTCCCTCTGTGTTTTTGTGCAAATTTATGTAGTATTAGAATGAATACTTTATTGAAAATTTGGAGAACTTTAATAGAAGGCCATATATTTCAAGTATGCTTTTGTGGGATGATTTTTAAAACTATTTTATTCAGTTATTTAAGAAATTGTAGGATTATTTAGAATTGAAATTTATGATTTGCTCAGTTTTTCCAACTAGTATTTTTTTAGAAATTTATCCATTTCATTTAAATTGTCCAATTTATTAGTATAAAGTTTTTCATAATGATATATCTGACTAAACATTAGGATTTAACTCTTAACGTCTTCCCTCTGCCTCCCAAGACCTCAAAAAAACAGAGAATTAAAAAAATAAATAAAACAAACGTTTTAACCCACAAAAAAGAGTGAGAAGATGAAAAAAAATGATACACTGACTAAATTAGCAGAAAGGCTACAGCCAAAACACAAATGAGGGGATATAATTATGAAAAAAAAATTGGACTAGCAGAAATACTGAGATGCTCTGGGTTTAAAAAGCATCTGAGAATCTGATACTAAGGTGGGCTCTGGAAACACGATTAGCTGACACTGAGAGTCTCTCTCCCAACTCAGTGATCCAGATTATTATTCTAACTCCTCACTCAGCTTTACAAACAAACAATTTCCGAGGTTTGTTTTCAGGAGTTAAAGAATCTCAGGAGCGCCTGCCTTAAGGATACCAAGCTCCTTGAGGGTCCCCTAGCGAAAGCCTAGTTGCCATCCTGCAACCCTGTCATAGAGCTCCAGTCATCATGGCCCATCCTTGTATGGTCAGTTTCCAGTCAGCCTTCTTAGTTCCTCTCCGTTAAATATGATCACCCCACATTTGGCAGAAAGACTCCAAACGAGAGAGAACAAATCTTTATAAACAGTATTTACAGAAAACTGAGACACTAGGCAAAAAAGAAGAAAATTAAAACAAACAAAACTATAACATTTTTAGAGAGAGAAGAAAAGTCATTTTACCCTTATTGAAAAAAAAAACAAAAAACAATGTCCGAAGTGTGTATAATTTAAAGGATGGAAAACTGCCCTAGATTATTACAAATATAGTAAAACAAATTAAAAATTCAAACTCATTTTGAGATATTCAATTGGAGGAATGGAGTAGAAAATAAAGCAATATGAAAAGAAATAGGAAAGAGAAAAGAAATTATGAGAAAACGAGGGGATCAATTTAGGAGATGTGATACCCAATTTTTGGAATTGGGGCTACAGAAAAAAACAGGAAAAAGGACTTTTTAGGGGAAAAAATACAGAAACTACCTAAAAATGGAAAGACCCATGCTTCCAAATAGAAGAGTTTAACAAGAGACAACAAGAACATACTATGTAAACGTTTCAACATTGTGAAATTTCAGAACACTGAGCAAAAAACATGGAAAAGTGTTCCACAGAAATAAACACAAATTATATATAAAGAAGCACAAGGTTGTCTACTATACACATGATTCTACACTGCTGCATGCCTTTCTTTCACCTTATCATGTATCTCAGTCCTAGATGAGTTCTACATTCATTTCCATATTTATGTTTACTCTTTTTCTTAATAACCAATGATACCAGGTATAAAATTACACCTATATTATTTAGCATGTGGATGTATTCTCAATGATCAGAAGGTTAGGTCAAATGGTATAGAATTTGTAATATTGACGGATATTGCAAAACTATCCCACTTAGATATTATAGTGATTTTACAGTATTGCCAGCAATGGATAGTCATTAAATTGTCCAATTCTAAAATTTTTACCAGGCTAAGAGGAGAAAAATTATATACTTACAGTGTTTTTTAAATTTGCTTTGATTGCATTATGAATAGAGCTTAGCATTTTCCCCACATATTTAGGGATACTCTCTGTGTCTTCGTATGTAAACTGGGTGTTTATATTACTGACTTACCTTTCAGCTTTTTCAGTTTTTCCTTCTTAATTTCTAAGTTATTGATATATTCTCGATCCTAATCTATCTTTTGTGAAGTAAAATGTTTGTGCAGTGTTTCTTTTGCATTTTGATTTTTATGTCTTTCATAAGCAGATATTTTTACTTGTCTTGTAGTGAAATTCACCAGTCTTTTCTTTCTGACATCAACATTTTTAGTATTAACTATAAACATCTTCCCCATCCATTTTTTTTTTTTGTTTTTCCCTTTGAGTTTTTGTGGGTAAATACTAGGTGTATATATTTATGGGTTACATGAGATATTTTGCTACAGGCATACAATGTATAGCAATCACCTCAGGGAAAATAGTGTATCCATCACTTCGAGCATTTATCCTTTCTTGGTGTTACAGATAACCCAATTATATTCTTTTAATTACTTAAAAATGTACAGTAAATTATTGTTGCCTGTAGTCACCCTGTGGTTCTATCAGATACTAGATCTTACTAATTATATCTAATTATATTTTTGTACCCATTATCTATCCCCACTTCCATCCACCTCACTATCCTTCCAAACCTCTGGTAACCATCATTCTACTCTCTATCTGTAGGAGTTCCATTATTTTAATTTTAAGCTCCTACAAATACATGAGAACATGTGAATTTGTCTTTCTGCGCCTGGCTTATTTCACTTAACATAATGACCTCTATCTAGTTCCATCCATGTTGTTGCAAATGACAGGATCTCATTTTTTTATATAGCTGAATAGTATTCTATTTAGTAAATATACCATATTTCCCTTACTCATTCATCTGTTGGTGGACACCCAGGTTGCTTCAAAATCTTGGCTATTGTGAACAGTGCTGAAGTAAACATGGAAGTGCAGATATCTCTTCAATATACTTATCCCCTTTCATTTGAGTATATACCTAGCAGTGGGATTGCTGGATCATATGGCAGTTCTATTTTTAGTATTTTTTAGGAACCTCCAAACTGTTCTCCACAGTGATTGTACTAATTTACATTCCCACCAACAGTGTACAAGGGTTCCCTTTTCTATACATTCCTGCTAGCATTTGTTATTGCCTGTCCTTTGCACTAGGGTGAGATGACATCTCATTTTAGTTATGATTTGCATTTATCTGATGACTAATAATGTTGAGCACATTTTCATATGCCTGTTTGCTATTTGCATATCTTCTTTTGAGCCACATCTATTTAGATCTTTTTTCCCATTTCTAAAAATCATATTATTATTTTATTCCTGTAGAGTTGTTTGAGCTCCTTCTGTATTCTGGTTATTAATCCCTTGTCAGACAGATAGTTTGCAAATATGATATACCATTCTGTGAGTTTTGTCTTTGTTGTTTCCTTTCTTCTACAGAAGCATTTTAACTTGCTGTGAGCTCATTTGTCTATTTTTTGTTTGATTACTAGTGCTTGTGGGGTATTACTCAAGAAATCTTTGCCCAGTCCAATATGCTGGATAGTTTCCCCAATGTTTTCTTTTAGTAGTTTCATAGTTTGAAGTCTTAGATGCAAGTCTTTAATCCATTTTGATTTGCTTTTTGTATATGGTGAGAGATAGGGGTTTAGTTTCATTCTTCCCCCATCCAAATTTACAAAGCATTTCTCCAACATTCTCTAATATTTTTATACTTTCTTTTTATGTATTAAAACTTGTATCTATTTCAATTTAATCCAGAGAATGTTTAAAGGTATAAACAAGTCGAATTTTTTTTCAGATGGCTATCCAGTTGTTCCATGTTAATTATTAAATAGTCCCTACTTATTCTAATAATCGGAGATGGCAGTTTTATTATATGTTATATATTTTTTCATGTTTTGGATTCATTTTGAGACTTTGTGTTTTGTCATATTTGTTGACTACCAATGCGGTGGTGCCATGCTTTTCATTAATGAAGCTATGTAATCTAATTTAATATATGGCAGAGCTCATTCTATACACCACTTGTCCAAACAATGCACTTTTGCAGAGTACACTTGGCTTTATTTGTCTTTTATTCCATGTGAACATTAAGAAATAAGATGTCAATTTCATAGAACACAAAGATAACACCATTATTTTATTAAAATCTCAATAAACCTATAAAATAATATGAAGAGTTGAAATCTTTAAAAGTTGTATGTCCAGTATAATATAAGTTTTTCAGGAGGAAGGTTATTATTATTTTAAGTTTACAGATGAAACTGTATGTATCATACATAAGGTTATGATTATGTATGTATGATATACAACATGATATTTTGAAGTATATACACATTGCAGAATGACCAAATCTAGCTAATTAACATATGCATTACCTCATATAGTTATCATGTTTGTGGTAAGTACACTTCTGAAATTATAAAACTCACTGGCAAAAGTAAACACATTGTAAAATTCAGAATACTCAAATACTGTATGGTAGTGTGTAAATCACTAATACAATTAGTATGAAGGTTGAAAGAAAAAACTATTAAGAATAATAGTAGCTACAGTGTAATATATCTTTAGAATTTTCTTTCAGATTATGTATGCATGCGCCTATACTACAGCAATATCTAAAGTTTTCTCCATGTAGAAGTTGCATGTTTTTGTTAATTTTAGTCCAATGCATTTTAACATTTTAATTCTTGTTTGTAAGAAATATTTTCTTCCTTATGATTTAATTAGCTTGATTCTGTTTATTAAAGTTGTTTATTTCTAATTAGTGACTTAATTAAGAGAATTCTCTTTCAAGGCATGTAAAAATGCTTTAAAAACTTACTATAAGTGATATGAATGAAAAATACTAAACCACTTTTTTTAATACTCAGATTTTTAAAAAGCCTTCAACTAAAGATTAAAACTAAAGTCCCTAAAATACTTAATAGATATATAAATAGCAGGCATTTGACAAAAGAAGACTTGAAGGTAGAACAATATACTAAGAAAAATAGATTTTGATAAAGATTGCTTTGTTGATACAGCATTTCCTATTTTCACAAAAATCGTTTAAAATTTAAGAAGTAACGTATAATGCATAAATTATAATTAATATTCTGGAATGTCTTCTACCAGAAGATCCATTACTTTATAAAGGAAAAATAAAACTTTCAAAGTAAATATTTGTTTGCAATATCAACTCACAAATGCAACAATCACTATTTATTTAAAAAAAAAGTTCACTAGTACATGTTAAGTGTTTTAACTCTATGTTTAACTTGGATAAGCAAACTGAAATAACGACATGCTTCAAGAAGAAAGAGATTTAAAAGAATTTCTCTTATTTTCTTTTTTTGTCTAGGATTTTATCTTTTCTTAAGCATGATTCATATTGTCTTACTTCACTTCGCAACTCTTTATCCACTCTGTCAGTAGCTCTTTTCCTCAAACTTAATAATACACATAATGAACATAGATGATGACATTGAAAAGAAACAGTGCATGTCAGCTCTTTCTCAAGATGTGCACTGTCGACCAATTGTCCTTGAAGGGGCTTCTTCTAATTAATCACCATCCCTTCTCTGTAGAGCAATCATATTGGCAAGAATTGATTGGGCGTGTAAGACACTTAATTTAGTTGTTAGAAAAATCCCTTAATTAAAATAATCTTCCTGCTGGTAAAATTAATGCACCCCATGCAAAATTACCAGCATGATTTTAAAGTTCCTCTTCAATTACATTTTATATTTCGTGAGGAAGAAGTAAAAGAAGATCTTAATGGCAATTATCAAAAGAAATAAGAAGGAATTTTGCAATACATAAAATGTATAATTCTATTTACATATGTTTTCATTTATTTTAACTTCTATTTTGTTTTGAAAACTTGAGAAGTTTCACTGCTGAATCTTCATATTGAAATTCAAAATGAGTTTAAGTGTTTTACTTAAACATTCATTCAGTCTGTGCATTATCACACTGTTTCTTTTCCATTGGAAAGCCCAAGTCATTTAGATTCTCAGATGTAGCGGTCACATAATTTTAATTTTTGTTATAATTAGCTATATTCAGTAAGTTCTGTCCAGTAATTCAGGAAGGAATAATGATTAAATATGCATACACTGTTTTGAAGATAATTGCTTTCTGCTAAGTTTTCCATGAGTAATTTTAACTTTGTATTACACCACCCATTTTCTAAAACATATATTTGTTATTTTACTGCCATTCATAAAGTTGACTATATTTGCTCAAAGCTGATTTATCCATGAGCAATTTGACTTACTATTACTCCTTCCATTTTCCCTCAAAAATACTTCTGCCATTTCATCATTGTGAATATGTTCCCTGTAGCAATTTATAGTTCTCAAAAGAAGTTTAATATTTAAAAATAACCAAACATATGAAAGCATTATTCCTACTATGAGATAAAGGAAAATGAAGTGCAAAAACGATGCAAGCACTGAAATATGTGAACTAATTTGGTTGTAACAGTAGAGAGCATTTCTCAATCTGCACACTGAAAGCATGTAGGGAACCTCAAAAAATACTCTGTGTCCATCTCACTACAATTCCAGTTTGATTGTTCTGTAATGAGAGTTCACCATTAGTATGTTTCAAGAGCTCCTTCAGATGATTCTAATATGTGGTCAGGGTTTAAAAACAACTGAACTGACACAATCCCTAAATAGTCCTGAGGTTAATTCCTCTAACCTCAACTATATTTATTTCTTTGTTTCGTCTGATTGTGTCATTTATAAAATAGTAAGTATTCATAACAGAGTCTCTGAAAGTTCCTTTTAGCATCAACATAGTATAATCAACAATGCTTTGCTCTCTTCTACCACTTTTGGTCTTCAGTGTGATCTGATTAATGAACTGATAACTATTTCTGTCACTAAAGGTTGTTAACTCTACAGTATACTATTTTATGAGCATGGTGAAATAAATTATCATGTTTTCTGTTTAAAAGGCTAATTGTTAGTTTACTTCAACACTGTTGTGATGTAATACAATGTTAGAAATTCAGCTGCTGTTGGTTAGCTGTTACTCAAAAACAGACACATCAAACTGTTAATTTGCTGGTTGTTTGTAAACTGAAGTGCCAAAATATCACTGTCAGAGGAAATATTCTTTAAAAGAATGAAAATACCATATAGTCTTAAGAATGTAAATCAAATTTGCATCAGCTAAGTTAAATAATATTAGAAATGTAATCAAAGAATGAAAATTAAGCTCATCAAAATAGATTGCGATAGAAATTGAAACTCTATAATATAAACAAAAACATATATGGGAACACAAGTGCTGGAATGATTTCATTTCAAGTGTGTAAGACAGAAAACTAGGAGTCCTGTTGACACCTTCATCACTTGCTATTTCCAATTCATAAACAAGATCTTCCATTTATTTCAAGCTTCCAGCATTATGACTCACCTTATTACTCCAACCAACTCCCTAGCTTTTTTCCTTCTCTTCCATGTGTTTCTCTACTTGTTATAAACTTATGGAATGTGTCAAAACCTATAGTAATTTTCTATTCCTTTTAGAAGAGAAATCAAAATATCTAACCCAGCATTTTAGTTCTGGCTTTACCCCCTCCATGGAATTGTTATTAGTCTTTTCTCACAGCCCCAGACAGGCCTTCAAAGAAGCCATTTCTTCTAATATAATGTTTTTACAAATACAATTCCCTCAACCCAGAATTCTCTCTTCTCCAACTTCTCTGCCATGACATTATTCTCTATATCTCTCTTCAGGGGTCATTTTCTCATGGAAACCTTTTCTGGCAACCCAACTCAATATCTCAATTGCCCAGTTTTTTTTTCTTTTTTTCTAAATAGGCTCATTGCTTATAAGCATTCATGGAATGCTACCTGTTTTCATAAGAGCATTTTGTTTTTAAATAAAATTACATAGTTATCACTGTATTTGTCCATTAACCACTCCCTTCCAACAAATGGATTTATGAAAGTAGGAAATAGCTCTAGTTTACTTCACTATTATCTCTCTTGCACCAAGTAGATTTCCTAGGATGTAGTTGGTGTTAAACACGTCAGTTAAAGGAATACATTAGAAAATAAGAGTATTAATTTTATTTTTAGTTTATATTACGTTTTGAGATATAAAATACTTTGTGTGTTTAGAAAATGAATACGTGACTAGCAAATTTTGAAATGATTCAAGCAGATTGAAAAAAATTACATAAATTTGTTACCTGCAAATCCCAATTGCCACACATATTCAAATTGAGCAGGACCTTTATCTTGGCAAATACCATGGAAGGTGACTCCACAGTAGCAGAGGTGTTGATGAATTAGGTAAACATTCTTCAAAAACCAACATGGATTTTTTGTGCACCCTGGAATGCATACATACTGCAAAAAGGAAACAAGGAAAAATGGTAAATTCTTTTTTGATATATTTTTCAATATATACATATAACATAAACAGCTAATTTTTAAAACCACAGTGATTATAGAAAACTTTATGGGACACACTTTTTATACTTCTCTTTATTTCTTCTATTTCTTTATCTTTTCTTTCTGTACTATCTTTTGTCATATCCATGTTCAAAAGCCTATATGATAATCTTTTAGCTTTGACTCACTCTCAATATACAACAGTCCCTAATCTTCTGTTTGATGGGCTATAATACATCTTTCCCCTCACAAATTTAAAATACCTATGGTATAAATTAAGAGATACACCATTTAAAACACTTATAACGGTTGAATTAGCACAATAAATGTCATGGTGTGTTCAAATTAGACTTTTGCTATCATTTGAAAATAGTTGAAGATAATCAGGGCATATTGTCTAATAATATGATTTGTTTATGGTAATCTCCAGCATCTTCAAATACAAAAATCATATATAGTTATATCCACAATTGAACTAACTAAATGTAAACCATTTTAGGTCACATTGAGGTCATCACTAAGTTTTAGTACATGCTGCGCTACTTAGGTATTAGGAAGACATCAACCAGCATGAAATTTAAGCCCTAGAGACAAACTAGGGCTATGTATTCTCTTTAGAGCATACCCCTCAATTATTTCTACTTCTCCACGTTTTTTATTAACAAATCTCCCTTGAATTTGGCAGAGAAAAACACAGCTGAGACATGCAGTACAAGGAATCTGACAGTTCCATTAATGAAATTACTACACTAAGTAAGCATTGTTCTGTTTCAAGTCATGGTGGTCTACCTGGATTTGCAATCACAATTTCCTAATTGCACAACAACCTTAAAGTATGAGTCAACACTAAATGTGAGGAAAAAAAAAAATTGGCGAGGCGTGGTGCCTCATGCCTGTAATCCTAGCACTTTGGGATGCCAAGGCGGGCGGATTACCTGAGGTCAGGAGTTCAAGACCAGCCTGGCTAACAGGGTGAAACCCTGTCTCTACTAAAAATACAAAAAATTAGTCAGGTGCAGTGGCGTGCGCCTGTAATCCCGCCTACTCTGGAGACTGAGGCAGGAGAATCACTTGAACCAGGGACGCAGAGATTGCGGTGAGCTGAGCTGAGATCACACCACTGCACTCCAGCCTGGGCTACAGAATAAGACTTTGTCTCAAAAAAAATGAAAAAGAAAGAAAAAAAAGAAATAATTTAAAAAATAATTACCATTTAATTATATTAAATGATTACCAAAAAATACAATTTTATGATATATTTCCAAGTTGTGAGATGATCAAAATCTTTAACCCATTACTTTTATACTGAGACATCAAATGTTGAAGTCTACAAATGGCATTAACCAATCTTCACTGTCAGTGGAGATTGTCTTTATTGGATTTGGGTCCTCATTGTGATAGAAAATATGAAGGCCTAATGAATTCTGAATATATGACTGTACAAAATAAACTTAGCAGAATAGTACATTATTCATATTGATAGGATCCTGTAGAGTCATTTCTTCACTTAAAACTTAACAAAACAATAGACAGTTTTTATCTGTCATGTCCCTCTCACCCTTCCCTCTGAGTCCCCAAAGACTGCATATTGAGTACAGTGCACACTGCTTCAGTGACTGGTCTACCAAAATCTAAGAAATCACCACTAAAGACTTATTCATGTAACTAAAAACCACCTGTACCCCCAAAAGTATTGAAATAAAAATTTAAAAATAATTTCAGAATATCCTCTTCTGGACACTGGCCTAGGAAGAGAACTCATGACTGAGATCTCAAAGTACAAGCAACTAAAACAAAAGTAAACAAATAAGACTTGATTAACCTAAAATGCTTCTGCACAGCAAAAGAAATAATCAATAAAGTGAACAGACAACCTTCAGATTGGGAGAAAATATTTGCAAATTATGCATCCAACAGGGGACTAAAATCCAGAATTTATAAGGAACTCAAGCAACTCAACAACTTCAAAATACAACCAAATAACCCAATTAAAAAGTGGACAAGTGACATGAATAGACATTTTTCAAAAGAAAACATACAAATAGCCAGCCCACATATGGAAAAATGCTCAACATCACCAATCATCAGAGACATGCAAATTAAAACCATAATGAGACATCATCTTATACCAATCAGAATGGCCATTATTAAAAAGTCAAAAAACAATAGATGTTGGTGAAGATGCAGAGAAATGGAATGCTTATGCCCTGCTGATAGGAATGTAAATTAGTACAACCACTGTGGAAAATCGTATGGGAATTTCTCAGAGAACTAAAAACAGAAATGTGATTTGATCCAGCAATTGCACTACCGGATATCTGCGCAAAGGAAAAGAAATCATTATATAAAAGAGATACCAGCACAAGTATGCTTAGATTCATTATTCATGATACCAAAAATGTGGGATCAATCTAAGTGTCCACCAATTGATGACTAGATAAAGAAAATTGTTTATACACACATACACATACATATACATACACACAATGGAATACTATTTAGCAATAACAAAGAATAAAATCATGTCTTCTGCGGCAAAAAAATAACAAAACAGCAACAACAAAAACTAAGTTCGAATTAAGTCCTGTCTAAGGTATTTTGTTTTGTCTGCAATTGTTTTTGTTCTTGTTTGTTTGTTTTTTAAACTAAGAATATCAGAGGAAGTTGGATCAAGGATACGAATCCCTGTTTCTGCCACTCAGGAGCTAAGGAACCATTTAAAAATGAGACATTAAGTATTCTGTAACAACCTTGAGAGAGATGAGCTGATAAGGAGCAATGAGAGATGCCAGGAAAAATGACACAAATAATATGAATCCCTGCTCACAGGGGTGCTGTGGTATTCTTCCTACTACTTTAACCTGAAGACCAAATTTGACTTCTGGCTTTTCTTAATGAAAAAAACAAAGTCACCCAGGATATATTTCAATGGGTGCCTGAACAATTTATCTGTACTTATACCCTTCTATACTGAATAAGGACACTATGAAGATATTATAACTTTAGATAAAATTTGGATTTAGAGGGAGTTATTTGTGATTGCAGCTCTTAATACCTTTTTAAAATTATTGCAACACCAGTACATTATCCTCTAACATAACAACCTGAATGTTAAGAGCAGTTAATTTAAAAGAGCAATTTATTTAAGCCATATGTAGAGGCTAGGAGTGTTGTCATATAGGTCTATCTCTGATTCTGACCTCTCATTTATACCTTGTGTGTTCATGTGAGGATGCTGACACACACACACATTTCACAGCACCAACATGAAAATAGATGTACAATATAACTTTTAAAGCAAGTTAATATAAGTAAAGTATGATGGTGAGATGGAAGAGTGGAAGCACTTTTTGCATAAAACATTTAACTTAATGGCCTTTGGGAGGAATTAGATGCATCACCGCTGTATTACAACTGAGCCATTAATCTTGAAGCTTCATCAGTATTAACTTGGTTCACTTTCATCATGTTGTTGAGAGGCTCATCATTTCTGTAGAGGTTCAACAGAAAAGCCTTCTGAGCAGTGTACAAGTTCTTTTTGTATATTTACAAAAGCTTTATTCAGTTTGTTAACTTCTTAATCATTCATAATGTTTATCTTCTTAAGAAGATTAGTGGTAACTGGTGTTGCTTTGATTTTAGTCTTAAAGTGTTTTTTGGCTTGCTATATGAAATACATTCCTGGCCTTTGCTCTCTTAATTTGTTCTTGTCCATCGTCTATAATACGCATGTGCACCTTCTTAAGCTTCAAGTGATGCAATCTATTGAGTGAATAAACTAAATGTTTGTCTTTAAATTGCTCTGACCTTTCTAGAAGCCAAGGGAAAAGGGGAAACATTAAAATATACCACAGCTGTTTTTATTGATTAATTTTATACTGGTAGATTCATTTTGGTTTATTGGATGAACCAGATTTCCAGTTGATATTCCTAAGGAACAATTGTTATATGGTGGATAATATAAAACAAATGACAATACTTTGGTAATACTATTATGAAAAAATATTTATTATATAGACCAGGAGTCTGCAAAGTATTCTCTTAAGTACTATGTTTTACAAGTAAGATGATTTTTAACTAAATCAACTTCCTGTTTTTGAGTATGAAGTTCAAAAATGCTGCCAATAAAAGAAAAGTAATTATTTCAAATTCACAGTGAAATGGCGACTAATGTAATGCTCATTGCTTGCTAAAACACTATTTTTTTTCGTTTTTGTAAACTTAAATAAAAAGACAATTAAGTGAGTCAAACGTTATTTGTATGACCAGATAGGTGTCTTTGTGGAATTCAGTTATTTTAATGTGACCTCTCTTTTAAAATGAAGTTAACTTTCAGTAGAATGATGACCTTCTCTGTTAAGATATCTTAAGTTTCACAGCGACCTCAGGTACTACGGTAATATTAACTTTGGCCCATCAATCTTATTTAGAACAAAAGAGATTAAAAATTAGTTAGTTTACATGGAAGTGTTCACTTAGTTTGATTTTTTAAATTTATTTAAATTAATATTTGGAACTGATGCTTTAAAATAATCCCATTTTAAATACTATTTCCCATTTAATTCATAGATTAGGTGACAAATATTTAACAGAAAATTTTCTGTGGTCTGGGAATTTATATCAAAATTTATACACTTCAAACTTTACCTCTGAAATAGAAGTATGATTATCTTCATTTAAATAAGTTCACTTATTATGGTATGGCGAATTTAAGGTGATCAACTTAACTGTTTGCCTGGGACTTTCTGTTTTTAAAAGCTAAAAGTCTTATGTCTACTGAACTACTCATTCCTAGGCAAACTGGGATGGTTTCTTTTCCTAAGCGTTGATTATAAACTCAAAGCTTTATTTCTGAAATTAAGGAGGATGAGTAGTAGAGCTGTATTTGGCATGCCATGAGAGAGAGAAATGATCCTCTGTTGCTGTAGGTTTCTGAAGTGTGTGTGTGTGTGTGTGTGTGTGTGTGTGTGTGTGTGTTGGGAGAAGGGGGGATTTAGTTACCATAGAAAAACCCAACTTAACATGCTTATCAGAAGTTTCCTCCACCTATAGGTGAGACTAAACTCATTATCAAATATATTAAATTAGACCTTATACTATAAAATGTATAGCTCATATTTCTATAAGAAAATAAAAATTACATTAATTGCAGTAAACAATAGGTGTTTATAAGTTGCTAATAACAATATACATGAAAAATAGCAATGTGTTAATCTATCCTGTACTTGACAGCCCACTCGATGTATAAAAACTGAAAAGAGGAATCAATTCAGCATTTGATCTATTTCTTCTTTTAGTGAGTTGAATGCCAAGGTTTGGAAATACACAAACATGCCTTTGGAAGCAAACATCTATCTTACTTTTGACAGTGAACTAATTAAATGGTACATATTAGACAACTAAACTTGAACTGACTTTGAACCTCAATAAGCTTGTGAGAGGAGTAATTCTGGTAAGCAAACAGTGAAATTAAGACAAAGATGAAATGGTTTCACAATGACAGTAAAAAGAAACAAGAGAATCAAGAAATTGTCTATAAAAAGGAAAGTAATCTATTTCTTGTATCTCATGTCACATCAGAAATAAGCAAATTTTGCAGTATCAAAGTTTTGTGATTTTTATTTGATTGACACAAAATACATATTCATAACAATTTTATAACCTTAACCAACTGATTTGTCATTTCATGTGCCAAATATATTCAATGTTGCTTTCCTTAAGGCTTTTCTATTTTATAAGGGAAAACTAATTTTGATTGCTAGTATGAAGAGGATTTTAAAACAACTTTAGATGCTGATTTCTTATTTCAGCAGCAACCTTTCTTAGGAAAGATAATGATTTCCATTAGAAATCTTGCTTTTCATGATGTATTAAGCATTGTAAACTTCTCTTTCTTAAAGAAACTATATCATGAAATTATGGCATATACCTAGAATTACAGCATCTATATTCCCTGGTGATTCTATTTATATTTATTTAAAGCATTTGCTAGTTTTTAGAAACCATACAGAAAAATGAAAAGAAATTCCTTCATATAGGCAGATATTAATAGTGGGAAAACCTCACCTCTCTCTCTTTCTCTTTTTTCTTAGTATTTGTATATGTGGCCATTTTACCACATATGTGAATTCATTGTTCAAATGGGTTCAAAAGCATTAACTCATTCTATTCATTTCATCATTTTTTTCAGTAGCCTGGATAGAATATTTGTATATTCATTTCCATACTTCAGATAAGGAAATAAAAATTATAGAATTTTTTTCAACTCACACACCTCAATTCTCACAGGTCTAAGACATAAAACCTTTATACTTAGGTTTCAAATCTCATCAATTGTTACTTTATTTTAAAATTTATTCTCTATTCCCCAATAAAAATATTTTCAATGGAAGTTTTAATTGACACATAAGAACTATTATTGTTAAAAATTGGAAGTATATAACCTTATAATTCTGATGTTTTATTGTTTTTATGACGCCACCTTCTTGCTTTGACATCACTTATTCACTTATCCTTCTGAAGTTTAAGTACTAATAAATTATTAACAGATTATTTCTAAAATATCTTATTCTATCCAATTTAAAGAAATGTAATGATCTTTCAAAAAGCAATGATGAATTTACATAAATTAATGTTCAATTTCCACTCATAGTCAAAACCTTCTATGGAAAATTAATAAAGTAAAATCAATAGTAATTATATTATTTAAATAAAAAAATTAGCATTATTATTCCTCTAGCTCTTCTAGGTAGCACCTAAATTTAGGAACTGTATCCAAAAAACATAGAATAATGCAAAATGAAAAACAAAGCTGGCCTATTTTGGCTCTCTGGGGACCAAGGGAAATCTGATTTTAACAGAAAATTCTCAAGTAGTTTGGGAAATTATATAAGATCATTTTCTGGTCTCCTATTATTACTTTAACATTTTTCCATAAATCACAGTAGTTGCTGACAACTCCGTGACCATACTATATTCTAGAGAAATGTGAAAATTCAACAAATATTTTCTGAAATATAACTCTTCTCCAACTGTTATGCTAAAAAGAGACAAAAAGTTTAAATTACGGCATCCTTGCTCTCACTGAGCTCACAGTCTAATGTGTGTTTACAGTCATTCCAAGAAATCCCATTTAGTGTAGTCACTGCTATGTAGAAAGACAGTATTGCAAACAATGGGAACAGAAAGGAAGAAGTAGTCGACATAATCACAAATGTTGTGAGGTAGTTTCATTCTGGATGAAGGCATGTATTGGGATAGACATGAAATAGGAAATGCAATCTTTTCCATATTTCCATCTATATTTCTACATATAAAATTGTGACTGGAGTTCAAGGAATGGTAGGTGACCATAAATTATTGAATATCTGTACTTTTACCCAAGGTATTATAATTAATTTCTAAATTTCCTTTAGAAATACCATCATTCTCAGCAAACTATCGCAAGGACAAAAAAACAAACACCGCATGTTCTCACTCATAGGTGGGAATTGTACAATGAGAACACATGAACACAGGAAGGGGAACATCACACACCGGGGCCTGTTGTGAGGTGGGGAGTGGGGGAGGAAGGATAGCATTTGGAGGTATACTTAATGTTAAATGACGAGTTACTGGGTGCAGCACACCAACATGGCACATGTATACATATGTAACTAACCTGCACGTTGTGAACATGTACCCTAAAACTTAAAGTATAATAAAAAAAAAGAAATACTCATATATGGATATGTGAATGATCAATTTAATTTAATGACTTGTGAGGTGACTGACAGGAATTTCTTTCTCTTTTTTTTTCTTTCCTTCCTTCTTTCGTTCGTTCGTTCCTTTTTTTTTTGGTCTGTGTCTCTCTCTATCGCCCAGGCTGGAATGCAGTAGTGCTATCTCTGCCCACTGCAACAACCTCCACCTCCTGGGCTCAAGTCATCTGCCCATGTCAGCCTCCTGAGTAGCTGGGACTGCAGACATGCACCACCATGACTGGCTATTTACATATTTTGTAGAAATGGGGTTTTGCTATGTTGCTCAGGTTGGTCTCCAGCTCATGAGGTCAAGTGATCTGTCCATTTCAGCCTCCCAACATGCTGGGATTACAGGCATGCACCACCATGCTCATCCTGAAAGTAATTTCTTAGACTACAGTGATTCATTATCTAATGTTTCCCTCCAAAAATAACACAGATAACACAAAGCAAAACAACTAAAGCCTCTTATTTTCTAATTATGAGAAAATGACTGAAGAAATTGAGCAAATACTGGAATTTTTCATGATTGTGAAGAAATGTACACTATTCTAAAACACATACGAGTAACTAATTTATTATTCACAATCTGTAGTATCTCATAAAAGTGCACCATAGCTAATGGCCAGAGAACCTGTTCTTCCCATATTTTCATTTATTTCCTTTTAAAGATTTCTTTGATTTTCAAAAGTATTACTACAAGAACAAAAATGTGGCTACCTAATTCATCACCAAGTATTTGATTTTCTCATTTTAAGACATGATAATCACTATTATTCAAGATCACTTCTTTATTCAATAGGTATTTATTGTAAGTATGCTCTGGGGAGTTATTAACCACATATGGCACAAATAAAGTAAAAGAATGAAATTGTCCCAGTTCTCTTAGATATAACTTTAAAATGAACACAAATAAACAAATGAAAATCTCACAATTCCTAAAGGCAATACATTCTAGAACATCGTTACTCCAAGATGCTGCAAGTTGAGTATGTCATTTAAACACACATAGATATATTTTACTATTTGGGAGTAAAGTAAAATTGACATATATGTATTTATGTGCATGTGTATATATATGTGTGTGCGTGTTTGTATAAATGTATATACACATGCATATACATTACATATATGCATATATGTATGTATACACATTACACATTATTATATATATACATATATGTACGTATACATTTATATATATGCCTATATATGTAATGTATATGCATGTGTATATATGTAATATTTTTACTACAAGTGCTTAAAGATTTTCTTCTTAGGAGACAGTTTCTTCCCCTTCTTAAATATATACATTTTCTTTAAAAATTTCTACATTAGTATTTTATATCACTGTAGACAAAGTGTAATATTCTCCAGTGCTATACTGTTCTCTGATTCTGATGTATTTATTTTTTCTCAAGGACTTTCATTTTTAAACTTTATAAATACAGTGTCTCTTATTAAACTCTTATCATTGCTTTAAATTCAAAAAAAGAAAATTAGAAAAGTTATGGGAAATCTTTAGAGAATGAAATCACCCTTTTCTTTTCAACAGGAAAGCAAGCAGTCTCAAAGAACCATGAAAATGATCTGATTGCATTTAGTCCTAAATCAACTTTCAGCTGCTGAGGTAAAAATGCCTTTGCCATGACATTACACCTTTGTAGTTGTCTCTCACATACTACATAGACTTGCATGCCAAATGTCATTCAACTTCAGGAATGAATGTGATCATCAGGGCTACAAAAGAAGATAAATGATTATCTTACTCATTTAAAATGATATTAAAACTCTTTTTTTTTGCAGTTAAATCTTCCTTTTGCTCTTATAGGCTACATAACATCTATTTATTTCATTCTTCTATCAAACAAATGACTGTAGAAAACCAAAATCCCTATTTTCCTTTCCCAGCTAATTGCTAATGCAAACTTCTTATAATAGTGGCATAATATTAAATAAACAATCAATTAAGCAATTAAATATATAGCTTTAGGTTCAAGATAACCAACATTGACTCTACTCATTTTTTGTTACAGTTATATTTAATCATTTCAGAAGAAAAATAACTCCTTTAAGTATATGTCATTTTGTTTCCACAACATTGTAAATGTTATGATTGATGTTGTTTTTCATGGCGTAGACAGACATACTTGATAACGTTGCCATCTCAGGAAGAGTACATCTTTAACAGGCTAAAAGTGACTTTAATATTCTTTTTAATTTTCATAATTAGTTAAAAACTTTGATAATTGACGATTTAACTCTTTTAATACAAGTCAAGTTTATTTAGTAGCATTTATTTAGATAACTTCAATCTATCAGTAGTTTGCATTTTGTAATTTAACTAAAACTTAGATTAAATATATGTGTCACATATTTTTTCCAATTGTAGAAGTGTATGTGAACTAAATTTTCCCTCAAAATACCTTATTATAATTTTTTAATATCATTTTTGTATAATCAAATTTTACCCCACTGATTTCAGTTTATAAATTCAGAAAATGACTTTAAATATATTCTTGCATTTGATTTTCTCTATTTTAATTTAATTATCTTTTTTATTGTGCTACAATAATATCTTAATTATTGGGGCTTTATAATTAATTTTTTCACCTGGTATTCCAAGTACTTCTTTGGTATTTTTTCAAAGTTTCCCTATATATTTTTAAATTTGTTTTTCCAAATAAACTCTTGGATGTTTTTTCTTAAATATCCCTTATATGTAAATTATTAAATAACATCTGATACATCACATCATTTGATTTTGTCTTTGTGAATTTTTGAAACTGTAGGGTAATATGATTTTTCTCAGGCTTTGACTAAAAAATAAAATCAACTAAATGTTTTTTTTTTCAATTTTTTTTCAATTTATGGTAGAACATTGATTAGAACATTTCCTTCCATAAGAAGTAGTAAATAATCAACCTCAGAATTGTATTAGTCATTACATAGGAAACAGTTACAGATATACTAGAGTAATAATACAGAAATACAAAATGAATAAAACTTTAAAATATGATAACCTTGCATGAGTTGAAAAAAATTTTTTCAAATAGTCCACTCATTACAGATATGCACTTCAGATATGTTTTAATTCATGGTCCTCATAAAAGAGATCAAATTGGACTATATTAAAAATATTAAGACTTCTTATGATATCCTTCTCTTTAGGTTTGATTCTAGGTAATTTTATAATTATTTCAGATATTTCTTATATCTACCTTTTATATCAGGCATTTTAACGAGATAGTTCAGGGACAATGTTCTCTCCTGGGTTAATTTGGGTACTTTTAAAGTTCAGCTCCTTCTCCCCGGATGACACCATGGAGCTCTCAACATCTTTACTTAAAGAGATAGGATACATGTATTAAAAACAAGTACTTGGCCAATTAGAATATTATGGAGTTAGAAGAGAGGCAGCTAAATTTTTAAAAAATGAAATGTGTTTCTTCAGATTTCTATATTCATTATTCAAATGCGAAAAGTAACTTTTTCTTTGGATGAAAATCTCAGTGATAGTGTGTGTCAAACATTTTTGGTACAATTGCATAATTAAACTCTCCACCTCATTTTAAGGAGGTCTGGTCATCTGCATACTGTCAAAAGGATTTTTTTGTGAGTTGAGATAGATTGCTTAAAAAAGTCATCCTAACTCTGAAGAGCAGCTGGAAAAATAAACAGTCAGGACTTCAGCCAACTATCAATCTAGGGAAACTTGGTAACCAACAAAGAATGAATAAATTCCTTTCTCTGTTCTTATAGCAGAAGTAAGAATAGTCAAGAACTGACCTATATTTGCTGATAGTAAGCTTATCCAAAATACAATAGCAACAACCAACAAAAAACTCACTCATATTTTTCCAGGACCTAGGAGGATTCCTGTTTTGGCCCTCCATCTGCCTGCCTTCTTACGCCTGAAAAATTTTCTGCCTGATCCCAGGTTTAGATTGGAAATGATTATGAAGAACTGAGCAAAAGATAGAAAATATTAACCTGTGGATCTCTGTCTCCATCTCCTGTATCTCCCCCTGTGTGAGTGCGTATGTGTGGTCAGTCCCTCCTCAGTAATAGGTGGACACTATTTTCAAATCTGAACTTTCAGAAATTGATGTTAGGTTTCTCTTTTATTTTGTTTGCAATTAAAGTTAAGATATATATCTCATTGAGTGACTATTACAAAGCCTAAGGTAAGATCATGGCCTGTCTTCCTCAACATTGTGTGCCTGGAGTTGAGTTTCCACAATGTAATGTTTTTGATATTCTTTCAATGAGCTGTACTAGTTACATAGCACTAAGAGATTACAAAAGAATTAGAGAGAGATTTTCCTGAAAGACAAGTGACTAAAGATTTCACCAAAACTTACTGAGGCTAAACAAAAGTTACTTAGTCCATGGGCCTCTTGTAATACCCGTGATTACATCTGCAATCAGAATGTTGGCTGTCTAGTAAATTATGTATGATTCTCACTTTGTAATGTGGATTGCCTTATTTTTTAAATCAGTGTTTCTGTTGACTTTTGAGTACAAGGTGAAAACATGACTTTGCAATTGTTATAGATAACATAAGAATCATGTAGATACCAATTTCTAAACATTAGATGTTCATATTGGGAAGAATACCAGTTAGTGCCTTTTGTGTAAACCAGACCTAGTTTAATGCCTGTTACTCCAGCCAAGCAACTGTTCGGACCCTTTTTCCTTCTCAAATGTGTCCTAGTATGAATGATAAATTAGTAAAGTATGTACACATGCAGGATATGGCATTAGCACGGGCTATTCCTGTCTGCGTTAGAAATGGGACAGCAAAATGTTACAAGCCAAGATCTCATTTGTGAAAGTCTGCAGTTTCACTAAGCAGTTGACAAATGGATCTGCTAAACGTGCCAACCATGTCAAGGTAAATGCAGAATTTTAACTAATGAAAGTTAAATCCATTTGTTCTGAGATATGCAACTAACTAAACATCTTGCTGCTTTTGGTTTTTCCTGATCTACACTCAATCCACTTGTATCAGTTGGTTCAGATGGATCTAAAAGCTAAGACTAAAAATGACTGCTAAGAATAAATCTTGATTGACTTCTTTTGTGTATTTTATATACATTTTTAGAGAGGACCTATCACCATATTTACATTCAAATTTATGTGTTCAGTTAGAGAGCTTCTTTAATGATTTTCAGCTAGCAAGTTTACTTTGGTGTAAATTTTAAAATAAAATTTCTTGAAGCCTTTGTGGATTTGCTTTCTATTACTACTGTAATGAAACACTACAGATGCAGTGGCATAAAACAACATTTATTCTCTAACATTTCCGGAGGTCGGAAATCTGGAATCAGTCTTATTAATGTAAAGTCAAGGTGTCAGCAAGACTGGATTCTTCTGCAGGTTCTGAGGGGGAAATCTGTTTCTTTATCTTTTTCTCAGCTTCTATTGGTAGCCTATATTATTTGGCTTGTACCTTCCTTCCTTCAGCTTTAAAAAATAACACTCCAATCTCTGCTTTGTTATCATATCACCTTCTCTGTCTCTGATTCTGTATGCAACTTTTTAATAAGGACCTCTGTGATTATATCAGGCCCCATCTGATAATCAGGATAATCTCTTTATCTCAAGATACTTATCTTCAACGTATCTGCAAAGTCCTTTTTGCCATGTTAGATAACATCCATAGGTTATGGGGATTAGGACACAGAGGACACAGGGGAAAATTTGGGTACCATTATTCAGCCCAGCATACTCTGGATGCTCAGAAACTGTTGAAGAAAGTTTACGTTCTGGTTTCTTTCCCAAATATTTGTGAAACTCCTTCTAAAGTACTGAGCTTTACCATATGTACAGATAGAATGGCTCTAAATCCTGTTAATAAGCATCTTGGTAGAAGAGCTGCTATCTTGAGGATCCAAAACATAATATGAAATAGATTCACATAAATAACCTGACCTTATTTTGTTTTTCTTTCACAAATGATTTATTCTTAACCATAGCAGGCGAATTTTTAAATAATAAAACTTGTTAAAAAAAGTTTTTTTCAATTATTTTTCCTGTTTCAGCACTAGTAAAGACATAGTGACATTCTCAATTTCTCTAAGACATTTAAAATGTCTATATGTTTCCTTTAAATATAAATGTTTTAACTATTCACAAGCATTGCACTAATTTGAATGAATTAATCTATCACTTCTTATAGTTGTTTTAATTTATTTTATCACTTACAAAAGTTCCGCTGAAAAAAAGCGAGATACAAGATAAGCTTGCAACTCCTTTGGTGCTTACTCTTGTAAATGAATAATAGCATAAAAATCAAATATAAAAGTGTGAGAGAAGAAGCTTATGAATTCATTATTAGAGGTCTCCCTTAAACATTTCTTACTCTATAGCTAATATCAATTATTATAGCCAATCAACAGAAAACATGTGGATTTATAAAGTACTTCTCATTGGAAATTAGTCAATTTACATATCATGCATGTAAAGGTAACATTGGCATAGCAGTAATTCCTGAGCATTTCTGTATTAGTCCATTCTCATACTGCTAATAAAGACATACCTGAGACTGGGTAATTTATAAGGGATAGAGATTTAATTGCCTCACAGTTCAGCATGGGTGGGAAAGCCTCAGGAAACTTACAATCATGGCAAAAGGGGAAGCAAATATGTCCTTTTTCACATGGCAGCAGGAAGGAGAAGTGCTGAGCAAAAGGGCAAAAAAGCTCCTTAAAAAAAACCATCAGATATTGTGAGAACTCACTCACTATCAGAAGAACAGCAGCATGGGGGTAACCGCCCCCATGATTCAATTACCTCCCACTGGTTCCCTCCCATAACACATGGGGATTATGGGAACTACAAGTCAAGATGAGATTTGGGTAGGGACACAGAAAAACCATGTTAATTTTTATTTTTGTCCTAGATCTATTAAGATACTGGTAAATTTCCTGTACATCAAATCCTTCACACATAATGGAAGTTATGTGGTAACTTTGATTTCTATTAATCTTCTCAGTTGAACACATCTGAAGCTTTATTATTGTTTGCTGCCTAGGAAAGAACAAGCCAAAAGGGCCCAGATAATACTATTTAAGGTTGACCAAAAATAAAGTTTCTACCACTTTGAATGACTAACAATTTTATGGCAATAAAACCACATGAGAATGACTTAAACATGAATCCTGTGAAAGATGCTTCTTACGTTATTTGAAAAAATTCTTCCAAGTAAAAGCACATTGTTGTTTGCTTATTTAAAATATGAGAGTAATTTAAATTATTAAAATATATCATAGAACTAGAAAAACAGTAACACATGCACATGAACAATATTTAAAAGTGAACAGCTAGTTTGAGGATGCTGCTCTCTTTCAAGTAGTACTTTAAGCATAAGCCAACTTCCCTCCCAAGAGTCAGTACAAGTACAGGATAAACTACTCAATTAATGAAGTTCTTTCAGAGAGCCATTGAGAAATATGTCCACGAAAGAGAGAGATGAGAGGAGATGTAAGGCATAGAACAGGACATGAATGAAATGGATCATGATCGTATGGTATTATTGAAGCTACATCAGAGCAATTCAGTGGCTATTTGATTTTGTTATTTTATGCTTAATACATCTGGGATCCTACCTCTTTCTCCCCGTTTTCTTAAAAATGAAGTGGAGCAAGCTCTCTGTTATTATCACACAAGTTCATTCTACTTAACAAAACTCTTTCAAATTTTTCACCTACATGACTAATAATATACATAGAGGAAAAAAATCAAGCAAATTTAATGTAAGCAAGCATTTCAGAAGGAAGAACTGAAAAGCAAAGTTTGTGACCAAGCAGTACATATATATATATATACACATTTGTGACCAAGCAGTGTGTGTGTGTATATATATATTTATATATATTATATATATATTTATGTATAATATATATATTATATATATATATTTATATATATATATATCTCATTCTGAACCAAAAGTGCTTAGTCTGTTCCAACAAAGCAAGAAAATAACAAGAAAACAATTTGTCCTAACCAATTATGTGCATCTAACTGTCAGACGCAATGCCCACATGAACCAGAAAAAGATTTCCCAATCTGGAATCTATCTCCTGTTATTATGGTCTGCTAGTCTGAAACAGTTTTTCTTTTGTAAGTCTGGGGTTCTCTAACTTTCATAAAGTTGTATGCATTTGATCTTTCCTTTTTTCTTACTATTTTCCACTTTCTGCAACCTAAACTTCCTCTAAGGAAGAATTTTTCAACCACAACGATATTGGCATTTTGGACTCAATATTGCTTTATTGTAGGAAACTCTCCTGTGCACTGTAGGATCCTTAGCAGCAAACTTGGCTTCTATAGCCAAACGCCAGTAGCAGCCCTGATCTCTACTTGTGACAACTAAAAATGTCTTTAGACATTGCCACATATTACCTAAGGGGCAAAATCACACTTGGTTCCTTCAGGGATCTTCCTGATTCTGACTCTAACTATTCCTTTTCAAAGATGTCTGCGACTCTCAGCACAAATTATGGCACTGACAACCCAGTCCCTAAGTGTGAAGAAACTGTCTCCGAAGACTGATAAATAATGAATATATTGGTGTGTTTATTTGGTTTGGGGTACAATCAGAAGATATCTTTCACAGATTAAAATGTAATTGGTAAGGTGATAGATGGTCACAGTATTTCTGTTTAATTCAGGCTTTAGTAGATCAGCATAGCATGAATTTCAGATTTTGCAATTTTGTGTATATTTGAATACTAATATTTTGAGTGTCATAACATACTTAGCTTACGCAATGCCTCTTCTTTCTTTCTTTCCCTCCCTCCATTTCTTTCTTTCTTTCCTTTCTATTTCTTTCTTTCTCTCTCTTTTTTTTTTTTTTTTGAAACAGGATCTTACTCTATTACCCCAGGATGAAGTGCAGTAGCACAACCATAGCTCACTGCAGTCTTAATTCCTGGGCTCAAAGTGATTATCCTACTCCAGCTTCCCAAGTAGCCAGGACTATGGATGCGTGCCACCAGATCACACTAATTAAAAAAAAAAAATAGAAATTGCATCTCATGATGTATTCCAGGCTGGTCTCGAACTCCTGGCCTCAAGCCATCCTTCTATCTCAGTCTCTTTGTTAGTTTGGATTACAGGCCTGGCTGTAACGCTTCTTTCTTTGACCGACTTTTATATTTTTTGACATAAAACCATAATGCAAATTTTTTTTATGTATCACTTAATTTTTCCCACCTTGCAACAAATGCATCTTTTCCCATGTTCTATGTATTGCTATAAAATGTAATCTGGCTTTCCAGGCTTGGTCAATTTAGCTCTGACTATCTCATTACTAAGAAAGAGTTCTCCTGCTCAGTTTCTATAGTCTGCGCACTTCCTATAAGGGAGTCCCTCCAAATAGGGTTCCACCAACTACATTTGGCATAATTTGCCTTTAGGGCAATTTTTCTGCCTTCCCTGGAAGAAAGTTAGTACCATATAAAGAAACAAATATATCTTTCTTCATAGAGATTACATTTCAGCCTAATCTAGTCTTCTAGTCAATAAAAATAATGTTTGAAGAACTATGTTGTAAACTGGGAAGCCAGATGGCAATAATTGTCAAGAAAAAAAAAACACAGAAAGTGGAGATGACACATATGGGCTGGATGAGAGTATGGGAGTGTGGCTGGTTCTCCTTCTCCATGAGTTCTGCATCCATGGATTCAACCAACTGTGGCTGAAAATATTTTTTAAGACAAATGATGGTGGCCTCTGTATGAAACACACAGACTCCTTTTTCTTGTCATTATTCCTTTCAAAATACAGTATAACAACATAGCATTTACTTTGTGTTAGGTATTACAAGTAATCTATAGATAATGTAAAGTATATGGGAGGATGTAGACTGGTTATATGAAAACACTATGTCCTTTTATATAAGAGACTGGAGCATCCATGAAGTATCCAAGTGGGTGGAGGTCCCTAGTACCAACACTCCACGGATACCTAGGGAGGACTGTATATAACATTTTAGATTGGGTTTCTACAGAAGGACAAACCGAGGATGTAACATTTGAGAAAATACCTACACAGAATGAAGAAACTGATGAATAATAAATGTGGGTGAAAATTTGGGTGTAAATGCTCACAAAAAAGGCCTCAAGCAGGAATATGCCTGAGTTCTTATGGGAACTTCCAGGATGATATCAATGTTATTGTAGAGCAAACCAGGAGAAGTATGATAATATTGAGCCTCTGGTTAAAAGCTTACCTGCTTTCCTCTCTGCAAAGTTTAATTATGTGAGCCTTCAAATTCCTCTCTCTCTCTCTCCCTCTCTCTCTCTCTCTCTCTCTCTCTCTCTCTCTGTGTGTGTGTGTGTGTGTGTGTGTGTGTGTGTGTGTAATGGGGGAAGTGGGGACAAGGAGAGAGGGACAGACAGAATGAGAGAGAGAGACAGAGACAGAGAGAGATTTTCTTTAGATTTTCAATTGTTGCAACTAAAATTTAAAACTTTTAATCCTACCCGAATGCAAATTGTACTCATATGGAATTCTAATTCGAGCTTTACTTCTTCCAGCGTGAGTTTACATAAGTCACTCTTGTTGAGGATAATTGTAAAAAAAAAAAAAAGCAAAACTGATTTAACTGGAGGATAGAAATAGAAGACAGAAATAAAGCAGATGGTGAAGTTAAAGTAGATTAGTTTTAAATTTTGTGTTTTTTTCTTTGTTCTCTAATGAAGCCTTATAGGAGATTTAAAAAAAATAAGATAAAACATAAACAGAATCCTTATATATACACTTCTGAGCCAGTTGCAAAAGAAGAGAATCAAAGGAGCTTTGTATAAAGCTCCGATGCTATTTTCTTTGATATAACAAACAACACTCGATAACTTTAAGTCATAACATTAGGAAGTTATACAATATTTGAATAGACACAAACCAGAAAGTGCATTTCTAACTATATGTATTAAAATAAAATAAATGAAAATAAATGTGTCAGTAAATTACTGAAACTCTAAGGAAAAGAATGCCTGAATCATTGCAGTAAGGCATAATAAATAGTATTTAATTGCATAGTACCTGTATTTTACAATTATAATGTGCATAATATCAAACATTTTTAAATGTATTGGATGCCATTTATTTATATAAACATGAAAATAACTATAGGATTTTTTTTTGCCATGAGCTCTTAATCTCTTCAATAGTTTATACATATGTGGTGGTGATTAGAAACCTAACACTCTCAATTGTAAAGCAACAATTGTTTTATCATTGAGGCCATTTATATTATTAATATTGAGAATGCAATTGACATTGTGAATGTGCTTGATTAGATATTCCTCATCACAATTTCAATAAGGAAGTTCGCCATCCTTATGCCACTTCAATTATAAAGAAAATGAATTGAAAATAGAGAAATTTAACTCATAATGAAGAGCATGACTTAGAATTAATAAGGTTCTGACCTACAGGGTTTTTTTATCTCCTCATATTTTCCAGCCTATTTTATTAATATCAGCTTCCTAATCTTAATGTTACTATGAAGAATGCTTTATTCTTCATAAAATTTCATTAAATGCATATTAAAAAAGAAATATATTTTTGTTCTCTTTTTAATTTTAGTCTAATCCCATTAACAAGAGTAAACCACTATTAAATTTGTTGGTTTATTTTCTTATAGCTTATTTAATACACATCTGCACAAATACAAATTTCATCCTGGCCCAACTGGCCATCAAAACTCTGATTAAACTTGGTCTTAAGTTAAATCCTCATACTAACAGAGCCACTCTGTGAATTCCAAATCCATTCTTCCACATGTTTCTCTTTGGATCCTTGCTTCGGTGTCCCTGTCTGTTTCAATTTATCCCTGGGCCAGGTAGGTCACAGGCTTTGGAAATTTTAATGTTTCCATCAAACCAAATCAAATATGCTAAGAAAATTTCATGTTAAATGCTAAATGAGAATGGGGATGGATGACATCAAATACCACATCACCTTTTGCCATCTAAATGGCTCCCCTCCCTTATGCTTTCTGCTGCTTGGGAAAGCCTCTGCTCCTGATATATAATATTTTCTAGTGTCTGTAACACTCTGGGAGGTAAAATCAATTTCTGAGGGAGCAGTCCTGGAATGACTTCTAACATTTTCAGCACCTCAGAAAACACATAAAAATTAATTTTTTACAAGTGGATAAATACATACAAATATCTAAAACCAAATAATAGAATGATACAGGTGCTTTTCACAAAACATTTTAACTTGAGCATTTTCAATATGATTAATAACCTTCAAAAACAAGGCCAAATGGATTCATCTTTTATTATATGGATACACTATACTTTTTAATATTCTTGTTGTTTAATTTGATTAATTTTCCTTTACAATAAATAATATTATAATGAACATTTTATATGCATGTTTTATATAATCTTTTAAATTTACTTTAGATATTTCTAGATACTGAATTATTACCGGTTGAAAAATTTCAGGCACATACTGCTGAACTGCCATTCAGTGGACTTATTACAAGTCATATTTTCCCTGGATACATGTGAACATACTGTCTCAATTTTCCTTTGTGATACAGAAATATAAACTGCGTATGCTTTTATGTTCTGTGATATGAAAATATCAAATGATATCTTCATAGTGCCTTAAATAATATTTCATTAATTTTTTGACAGTTTGGATTACCAACTGTAGTAAGATGGCTGAATAGGAACAGCTCCACTCTGCAGCTCTCAGCAAGACTAACACAGAAGGCAGGTGATTTCTAATTTCTGTATTTCCAACTGAGGTACCCTGTTCATCTCATTGGGACTGGTTAGGCAGTGAGTGCGGCCCACCAAGGGTGAGCAGAAGCAGGGTGGGGCATTGCCTCACCTAGGAAGTGTGAGTTTACATAAGGGGTCAGGGACCTCCCTACCCTAGCTAAGGGAAGCCATGAGGGTTTGTGCCATGAGGGACTGGGCTATCTGGCCCAGATACTACACTTTTCCCATGGTTTTTGCAATCCGCAGACCAGGAGATTCCCTCGTGTGTCTACATTCCCCGGGCCCTGGGTTTCAAGCACAAAACTGGGAGGCTGTTGGGGCAGACACTGAGCTACCTGCGGAGTTTTTTTTTTTTTCGTACCCCACTGATACCTGGAACTCCAGTGAAAGAGAACCATTTACTCCCCTGGAAAGTGGGCTGAAGCCAGGGAGCAAAGCGGTCTGGCTCAGCTGGTCCCACTCCCTTAAGTCCAGCAAGCTAAGAACCACTGGCTTGAAATTCTCACTGCCATCACAGCAGTCTGAAGTCGACCTGGGATCATCAAACTTGGTGGGGATGGGGTATCCGCCTTTACTGAGGCTTGAGTAGGAGAGTTTCCCCTGACCCTTCTAAAGACTGGGCGGAACGCATCACAGCACAGCAAAGCTGCTATAGCCAGACTGCCTTGCTAGATTCCTCTTCACTGGGTAGGGCATCTCCGAAAGAAAGGCAGCTGCCCCAGTCAGGGGATTATAAATAAAACTCCCACCTCCCTAGGACAGAGAACCTGGGGGAAGGGCCGGCTGTGGTCGCAGCTTCAGTGGACTTAAGCATTCCTGCCTGTCAGCTCTGAAAAGAGCAGTGGATCTCCCAGCACAGCGCTCCAGCTCTGCTAAGGGATAGACTGCCTCCTCAAGTGGGTTCCCTGACCCCTGTGCCTCCTGACTGTGAGAGACCTCCCAACAGAGGTCGACAGACACCTCGTATGGGAGAGCTCTGGCTGGCATCTGGTGGGTGCCCCTCTGGGACGAAGCTTCCAGAGGAGGGAACAGGCAGCAATCTTTTCTGTTCTTCAGCCTCTGCTGGTGATACCCAAGCAAACAGGGTCTGCAGTGGACCTCCAGCAAACTGCAGCAGACCTGCAGAAGAGGGGCCTGACCATCAGAAGAAAAACCAACAAACAGCAAGCAATAACATCAAAGTCAATAAAAAGGATCCCCACACACAGAAACCCCATCAAAAGGTCATCAGCCTCAAAGGTCAAAGGTAGATAAATCCATGGAGATGAGGAAAAACCAGCAAAACAATGCTGAAAATTCCAAAAACCAGAATGCTTCTTCTCCTCCAAATGATCACGACTCCTCTCCAGCAAGGGCACAAAACTGGACAGAGAATGAGTTTGATGAACTGACAGAAGTAGGCTTCAGAAAGTGGGTAATAACAAACTCCTCTGAGCTAAAGGAAGCAATGCAAGGAAGCTAAGAACCTTGACAAAAGGATACAGGAATTGCTAACTAGAATAACCAGTTTAGAGAAGAACATAAATGACCGGATGGAGCTGAAAAACACAGCATGAGAACTTTGTGAAGCATACACAAGTATCAATAGCTGAGTTGCTCAAGCAGAAGAAAGGATATCAGAGATTGAAGATCAACTTAATGAAATAAAGCGTGAAGACAAGATTACAACAAACAGAATGAAAAAGAACGAACAAAGCCTCAAAGAAATATGGGACCATATGGGAAGACCAAAGGTATGATTGACTGGGGTCCCTTAAAGTCATGGGGAGAATGGAAGCAAGTTGGAAAACACTTCAGGATATTATCCAGGAGAACTTCCCCAACCTAGCAAGACAGGCCAGCATTCAAATCCAGAAATACAGAGAATGCCACTAAGATACTCCTTGAGAATAGCAACCCCAAGACAAATAATTCTCAGATTCTCCAAGGTTGAAACAAAGGAAAAAATGTTAAGGGCAGCCAGAGAGAAAGTTCAGATTACCTACAAAGGGTAGCCCATCAGATTAACAGTGGGTCTCTCTGCACAAACCCTACAAGCCAGAAAAGAGTGGTGCCCAATAGTCAACAATCTTAAAGAAAAGATTTTGCAAACCAGAATTTCATATCCAGCCAAACTAAGTTTCATAAGTGGAGGAGAAATAAAATCCTTTACAGACAAGCAAACGCTGAAGGATTTTGTGACCACCAGGCTTGACTTACAAGAACTCCTGAAGGGAGTACTAAATATAGAAAGGAAAAACTGATACCAGCCACTGCAAAAACATACTAAAATATAAAGACCAACGAAACTAAGAAGAAACTGCATCAACTAATGTGCAAAATGACCAGCTAGCATCATAATGACAGGATCAAATTCACACATACCAATATTAACATTAAATGTAAATGGGCTAAATGCCCCAATTCAAAGACACAGAATGGCAAGTTGGATAGAGTCAAGACCCATTGGTGCACTGCATTCAGAAGACCCATCTCATACGCAAAGACATGTATAGGCTCAAAATAAAGGGATGGAGGACTATTTACCAACAAATGGAAAGCAAAAAAAGCAGGGGTTGCAGTCCTAGTCTCTGATAAAACAGACGTTAAACCAAGAAATATCAAAAAAGACAAAGAAGGGCATTACATAATGGTAAAGGGATCAATGCAACAAGAAGAGCTAATTATCCTAAATATATATGCACCCAATACAAAAGTGCCCAGATTCATAAAAATAAATTCTTAGAGGCCTACAAAGAGACGTAGACTCCCTCACAGTAATAGTGGGAGACTTTAACACTCCACTGTCAATATTAGACAGATCAATGAGACAGAAAATTAACAAGGATATTCAGGACTTGAACTCACCTCTGGACCAAGCAGCCCTAGTAGATATCTACAGAACTGTCCACATCAAATCAACAGAATATACATTTTTATCAGCATCACATAGCACTTACTCTAAAATCAACCACATAATTGGAAGTAAAACACTCCTCAACAAATGCAAAAGAATGGATGCAAATGTAAAAAAACAGCCTCTTAGACCACAGTGTAATCAAATTAAAACTCAGGATTAAGAAAGTTACTCAAAACCACACAATTTTGTGGAAACTGAACAACTTGCTCCTCAATGACTCTTGGGTAAGTAACAAAAATAAGGCAGAAACAACAAAGTTCTTTGAAACCAATGAAAACAGACAACGTACCAGAATCTCTGGGAGAGAGCTAAAGCACTATTTACAGGGAAATTTATAGCACCAGATGCCCACATCAGAAAGCAGGAAAGATCTAAAATTGACACCCTAACATCACAATTAAAAGAAATAGAGAAGCAAGAGCAAACAAATTCAAAAGCTAGCAGAAGACAAGAAATAAGTAAGATCAGAGCAGAACCGAAGGAGATAAAGGCATGAAAAACCCTTCAAAAAATCATTGAATCAAGGAGCTGTTCTTTTGAAAAGATTAAAAAAATAGATAGACCACTAGCCAGTCTAAAAAAGGAGAAAAGAGAGAAAAATCAAACAGACACAATAAAAAATGATAAAGGGGATATCAACACCGATCCCACAGAAATAAAAACTACCAACAGAGAATACTATAAGCACCTCTATGCAAAAACAAAACAAAACAAAAACTAGAAAATCTAGAAGAAATGGATAAATTCCTGGACATATACATCCTCCCAGGAGGAAGAAAATCCGTAACTAAACCACGAAGAAGTCAAATCGTGAATAGACCAATAAAAAGTTCTGAAATTGAGGCATTAATTAATACCCTACCAACCAAAAAAAGCCAAGGACCAGACGAATTCACAGCTGAATTCTACCAGAGGTACAAATAGGAGCTGGGACCATTCCTTCTGAAACTATTCTAAACAATAGATAGACAAATGCGATCTAATTAAACTAAAGAGCTTCTGCACAGCAAAGGAAACTATCATCAGAGTGAACAGGCAACCTGCAGAATGGGAGAAAAGTTCTGCAATCTATCCATCTGACAAAGGGCTAATATCCAGAATGTACAAAGAACTTAAACAAATTTACAAGACAAAAACAATCAACCTCATCAAAAAGTGTGTGAAGGATATGAACAGGCACTTCTCCAAAAGAAGACATTTATGCAGTCAACAAACATATGAAAAAAAGCTCATCATCACTGGTCATTAGAGAAATGCAAATCAAAACTACAATGAGATACCATCTCATGGCAGTTATAATGACGATCATTAAATGTCAGGAATCAACAGATGCTGGAGAGGATGTGGAGAAATAGGAACGCTTTTACACTGTTGGTGGGAGTGTAAATTAGTTCAATCATTGTAGAAGACAGTGTGGCGATTCCTCAAGGATCTGGAACTAGAAATAACATTTGACCCAGCAATCCCATTACTGGGTATATATCCAAAGGATTATAATTCATTCTACTATAAAGACACATGCACACAAAAGTTTATTGTGGCACTGTTCACAATAGCAAAGACTTGGAACCAACCCAAATGCCCATCAATGATAGACTGGATAAAGAAAATGTGGCAAATATACACCATGGAATACTATGCATTCATAAAAAAGGATGAGTTAATGTTCTTTGCAGGGACATGGATGAAGATGGAAACCATCATTCTCAGCAAACTAACACAGGAACATAATACCGAACACCACATGTTCTCACTCATAAGTGGGAGTTGAACAATGAGAACACATGGAGACAGGGAGGGGAACATCACACACCGGGGCCTGTCAGGGGGTGGGGGACTAGTGGAGGGATAACATTAGGAGAAATATATAATGTAGATGACAGGTTGATGGGTGCAGCAAAACACCATGTCACATGTATACTTATGTAACAAACCTGCACATTCTGCACATGTACCCCAGAATTTAATGTACAATAATAAAAAAGATAAACAAGAAAAAATAAATAAATAAAATAAAACAGAAAAAAAAGAGAGGGACTCCTCCCTAACTCATTTTATGAGTCCAGCATCATCCTGATTCCAAAACCTGGAAGAGACACAATGAGAAAATAAAATTTCAGGCCAATATCACTGATGAACTTCGACGTGAAAATCCTCAATAAAATACTGGCAAATGGAATCCAGCAGCACATCAAAAAGCTTATCCACCACGACCAATTTGGCTTTATCCATGGGATGCAAAGATAGTTCAACATATGCAAATCAATAAACACAATCCATCACATAAACAGAACCAATGACAAAAGCCACATGATTATCCCAATAGATGCAGAAAAGGCCTTCGACGAAATTCAACACCGCTTCATGCTAAAAACTCTCAATAAACTAGGTGTTGGTGGAACATATATCAAAATAATAAGGGCTATTTATGACAAACCCATAGCCAATATCATATTGAATGGGCAAAAGCTGAAAGCATTCCCTTTGAAAACCGACACAAGACAAGGATGCCCTCTCTCACCACTCCTGTTCAACATAATGTTGGAAGTTCTGGCTAGAGCAATCAAGCAAGAGAAAGAAATAAAGGGTATTCAAATAGGAAGAGAGAAAGTCAAGTTGTGTCTGTTTGCAGAATACATGATTGTATATTTAGAAAACCCCATCGTCTCAGTCCAACAACTCCTTAAGCTGATATGCAACTTCAGCAAAGTCTCAGGATACAATATCAATGTGCAAAAATCACAAGCATTCCTATACACCATTAACAGACAAGCAGAGAGGCAAATTATGAGTGAACTCCCATTGAGAATTGCTACAAAGAGAATAAAATACCTAGGAATACAATTTACAAGAGATGTGAAGGACCTCTTCAAGGAGAACTACAAACCACTGCTCAAGGAAATAAGAGATGACACAAACAAATGGAAAAAAACATTCCATGCTCATGGACAGGAAAAATCAATATTGTGAAAATGGCCATACTGCCCAAAGAAATTTATAGATTCAATGCTATTCCCATCAATCTTCCATCGACTTTCTTCACAGAACTAGAAAAAAATACTTTAAATTTCATATGCAACAAAAAAAAGGCCATATTTCCAAGACAGTCCTAAGCAAAAAGAACAAAGCTGGAGGCATCATGCTACCTAACTTCAAACTATACTGCAAGGCTACACAGTAACCAAAACAGCATGGTACTGGCATCAAAATAGATATATAGACCAATGGAACACAACAAAGGATTCAGAAGTAACACCACACATCTACAAGCATCTGAGCTTTGACAAACATGACAAAAACAAGCAATGGGGAAAGAATTCCCTATTTAATAAATGGTTTTGGGAAAACTGGCTAGCCATATGCAGAAAACTGAAACTGGACCTCTTCCTTACACCTTATACAAAAATTAACTAAAGGTGGATTAAAGACGTAAATGTAAAATTTAAAACCATAAAAACCCTAGAAGAAAACCTAGGCAATACCATTCAGGACATAGGCATGGGCAAGTACTTCATGACTAAAACACCAAAAGCAATTGCAACAAAAGCCAAAATTGACAAATGGGATCTAATCAAAATGAAGAGCTTCTGCTCAGCAAAAGAAACTGTCCTCAGAGTGAACAGGCAACCTACAGAATGGGAGAAAAATTTTGCAAACTATCCATCTGACAAAGGGCTAATACCCAGAATCTACAAGGAAGTTAAACAAATTTACAAGAAAAAAACAACCTCATCAAAAAATGGGCAAAGTTTATCAACAGACACCCATCAAAAGAAGTCATTTATGCAGCCAGCAAACATATAAAAAAAAGCTCATCATCACTGGTCATTAGAGAAATGCAAATCCAAACCACAACGAGATACCATCTCATGCCAGTTAGAATGATGATCATTAAAACGTGGAAATAATAGATGCTGGCGAGGATGCGGAGAAATAGGAATGCATTTACACTTTTGGTGGGAGTGTAAATTAGTTCAACCATTGTGGAAGACAGTGTGGTGATTCCTCAAGGATATAGAACTAGAAATACCATTTGACCCAGCAATCCCATTACTAAGTATATACCCAAATGATTATAAATCATTCTACTATAAAGAAGCATGCACACGTATGTTTATTGCAGCACTATTTACAACAGCAAAGACTTGGGACCAACCCAAATGCCCATCAATGATAGGCTGGATAAAGAAACTGTGGCACATATACACCATGGAATATTATGCAATCATAAAAAAGAATGAGTTCATGTCCTTTGCAGAGATGTGGATGAAGCTGGAAACCATCATCCTCAGCAAAGCAACATAGGAACAGAAAAGCAAACACCACATGTTCTCACTCATAAGTGGGAGTTGAACAGTGTGAACACATGGAGATAGGGAGGGAAATATCACACACCGAGGCCTGTCGGGCAGAGTGGCAGGAAGGAGAGGGAGTGTATTAGGACAAATACCTAATGCATGTGGGGCTTAAAACCTGTATGACGGGTTGATAGGTGCCGCAAACCACCATAGTACATGTATACCAATGTAACGAACGTTTACATTCAGTACATCTATCCCAGAACTTAAAGCAAAATAAAATTAAATTTAAAAATTTGAGACAGTTTGAACATTTAAAATGTGTATTTACCTTTATTTTCATTTATATCTAAAGATTATCTATACAATATATTTTCTAATTTTATTTGTTCTTTCCCTTTAAAAATTAACAATATAACTCACATATAGTTTTGCATGAAGAAACAAATACACCCCACCATGAAAGAGGATTTATTAATTTCTTAATTTTAAGAATTTTAAAAATCAGAATTTTATGATTTCTGATTTTAAGTTTTAAGGTCTGTTTTACATAAAAGTAAGGTAGGCATCAACTGGTTTCTGGTTAGTATTTCTCTCAATTTTTTCCATCATTTTGTTTCAATAAAGACATTTTATTTCATATTATCTCATGTGAACAGTACATACCTCTATTATGATTATGTTTATTTCTAATATAAATTTAGGTGGGTAATCACTGGTTATTGTTGTCTTTTTAAAAATTACTTTGATGCACAGAAGTTTTTAAACTTAATTAAGTTCAATAAACCAATTAATTTGTGCCCTATCTAACAAAGTTTAGTCTAATACATGGTCATGAAGAACCTCATCCTTTGGTGTTTTTTTTTTTTTTTTTTTGCTCCATTTTATTCTCAAGAAGTTTTATAAATTTCTCTTTAACTCTCAGGTTTATGCTTCATGTCAAATTAATTATTGTGTGGTTTGACGTAGGGGATATGGACTCACTTTTTTTCCATGTGTGTTGTGATAAGATGTTCCTTTGTTAGTTAAATTATCTTAGTGTTTCTGAGGGAATTCAACAGAAATTTCCCCGTGGATCTATCTTTGAAGTCTCCTTTCCTCTGTGTGTGTGTGTGTGTGTGTGTGTGTGTGTGTGTGTGTGTGTGTGCTCTTCTAGTTCATCCTTATGCTATGTATTAGTCAAGGTTCTCTAGGGGGACAGAACTAATAGGATAGATTTATATGAAAAGGGGAGTTTATTAAGGAGTATTAACTCATACTATCACAGGGTCCCACAGTAGGCTGTCTGCAAGCTGAGGAGCAAGGAAGCCAGTCTGAGTCCCAAAGCAAAGAACTTGGAGTCCAATGTTCGAGAGCAGGAAGTATCCAGCACAGAACAAAGATGTAGGCTGGGAGGCTAAGCCTGTCTAGCCTATTTATGTTTTTCTGCCTGCTTTATATTTTGGCTGTGCTGGCAGATGATTAGATGGTGCCCACCTAGATTAAGGGTGGGTCTCCCTTCCCCAGCCCACCAACTCAAATGTTAATCTCCTTTGACAACACCCTCACAGACACACCCAGGGTCAATACTTGACATCCTTGAATCCAATCAAGTTGACCCTCAGTATTAAGCATCACATGCTAGTACCACATTGCCTTGATACTCTAGCTTGAAAGTAACTCTTGAAATCAGGTTGGTAAAATCCTTCAGATTTGCTGTTATTTTTGATTGCTTAGCTATTTGAAGTCCTTTGACGTTTCATATCAGTTTTATAATCAGCTTACCCATTTCTACAAAACATTTGTTAATATCAGTAAGAAGAAAGGACATCATAAAATATTAATTTTTCTATTTCATAAATATTTTATAACTTTATTTATAGGGCATATTCCATTTCCCTCTAATCTTTTTTTTAGTTTTCAGCATAGAGATCTTAGCCACATTTTGTTAAATGTTTTCTGAAGTGTTTTGAGACAATTATAATCATACTTTATTTCACTTTTATAGTATTAATTTTTAGTGTCATGTCTTAATTAGTTGTTGCCATATTACAGAAGCACTATTGGTTTCTAAAAAGTTATAATGAATCCTGGAATTTTGCCATATTTAACTTCTTAGTTCTACTTTTTAATTTTTATAGCATTCCAATGAATAGTAATGAGGAATGCTTATCAAAACCATACCATTTTATTTATTCTATCTTCATGTTGTATTTATTTTTCTTGTCTTATTTCTCAAAAAAATTATTTTTTGAAAAAAAAAAGCTTTGCAGAAACATTGGAAGTTCCCTTTGTACTCTCCCTGATTTCATTCTCCCATCTACCTCCCTATAGTTTGCCTTTCAGATAAAGCTGGTGTGTGTAATCCTCAAGTTTATAAAATTTTAAAATTCAATATTTTTATATTTGTAAGTATTAATACATATAGCTATTGTCTATTCATTTTAACTAGTTTTTATAATTCCATTGTGAGACTACACCATGATGAATTTGTCCGTTCTCTTATTTACCAGGTTTAGTTTCAGATTTGAAGTGAAAATTCCTGTGTATGTCTCTCTCAGTAAATATCTGATAATTTCTCTAATAGACATACCTACAAGTAACATTGCTAGGTTGTGGAATATCCCTTACCATGTGTAGTACAGACATTTTGTATTTGTAAAGTAATTTCAAAAACTATTCACTAAAAAAGCATATTTTGTGGACCCTAACAATCAACCACTAGACTGATTTTATTTCTCATCTAGTTAAAGAGCTTAAAGTATTAGTAACTGGGGTTTTATATACTAAGAAGTATATCACCAGGCCTCAATTAGCTTTATACTTACTTTATAATAAAAACACCTCCTAGAACATTTATTAATTCCCTCCCAACATAATTCTTATAAATTAAAACCCCTATTGCTAAGCTTTACATAACTCACATTTAAATATAGATATAAGGATATGTTTCTCTGGCTAAGATTAATAAGAGCATTTGAAATATAGACTAACTGAGTCTATTGTATTTTGAAGGGCTAACTTATGTTGCCATGTATTAAATTACTTACTTTGAATCTTCCAATTATATTGAAACACCATTCTTCATTCAGACAGTTGATGCTGAGCAGTTTACAGTGGTCAATTGCTTTCTCACAGTTTTTTTCAGTAAATCCTGATATACAGCTGTAAATACATCAGTGTAAATTAGAAAAATTATAATTTAAATGTTTTCAGAAAAGCCTATTAACATTATTCCAAAAGGAATAAGGCTTTGTTTAAATTATATGGTATTATTAATCATTTTTTAATACATACCTGTGATCTTAGCCAAAAAGCTCCTATTTATGTATTTGGAAAGAATTACAGTAAACTACATTTTCAATGTATGCTCTTAATGATCTCTTTTGGGAATTTAAGAATAAAATAAACTTTGGCCTAAACTGATACTTAACAATACAGTATATGTTTTGGAAAACTAGTGAAATATGAAGAAAAAACATGACAAATGTGATTTTTTAATGTTTAGTAGAGCCAGTATATACTGATGATGTGCTAGCAGGAGTTAATGATGACTACATGAATTTGAGACAGGATAGAGTGCCAGTGGATGATAACGGTCTAGTTATAGTTGGGCTACTTATAGGACTTCTGTTTGTTAGTTGTCATTTTTAAAATTGTTTTTCAAACAATCTATATTCCAGTCTACTGTATTTCATTAACTGCAATCTATAAGTTGCTAAAGAACACACACTGGTGTTCTGGCTTCCACTGCCCTCACTTCTAATTAATTTGTAGGAAACAGTCCTGTGCCTTAAATCATATTTAGTAAACTTTCTATTATAAAATAAATGGGACCCCAAATGAAAGAATGTTTTTTCTAATGTAAACACCAAATATTTTAAGACCAAAAATATGACTTCTCATGACTTTAAGTTGGTAGAAGCTGATTTATTAATGAAGTGAATTTAACTATGTATTTATTATTTTAAATCTGTTATAAGAACACAAAATAATTTCATAAAAGGGATCAAAGGCCATGTTGGCACAATTTCACTGAAATAGCATCAATAAAATGCTTTAGTAATTTACCTTTCCTATAGTTTGAGGCACACAGCTTTGCATTTTCATCTTGCAGAATTAAATTATTTCTCCATTCATATCAGAAATAATCATCCACTTTTTTTCAGCACCCACCATATGCCAGTCACTAGGCTAATTACTTTTACACAATTTTCTTAAGTTCTCATTCAATTATTGTAAGTTGTGAAATACATTATTATTTATCACTTTTATAAATGAGGAAACATACCCATGGAAATTACATTAGTTGCTTTGGCCATATTACTTACAAATTTTACAGTGGTTAATAAAATTAAGTTTGTCCTAACTTTAAGTGCATTATTTTACTCTGCTATTCCATAGATGAAGACCTTTATGTATTTTACTCTACTACTCCACAGATAGTAAGATATATGTACTTTACGTCTCTCATTCTGAGGGGCTAGCTAGATATCCAGAAATCACTCCAAATACCAACTTAATGAAAGGTAGCAACCCTTCCTATTGAGGATGAGCATGTAATAGCATAGAGAAGAAGAGAAGAGCTTTAGCATATCCTAAAAGTTGATGAGTTTCAATTTTCCTTTTGAGTTGGAATGGACTGAATTGGCCAAGAGCAGTTAAAGACACATGTGACTTTCGGGCTTACTTTGTGTTGCAGTTTCCAAAGAGCAGGATCAGGTCTATGAATTGAAGAACCAATATTCAGCCACTAAGAAGAATCAGACCCAAATGGTGTTGAATGAACACTGGGCAGCAGCAACTCTGAGAAAGTGTTTCTAAACAGAGCAGGTTTTATTGATCCAAAAAAAAAAAAAAGGCCAAAGATTTTCTACTCTCAGTACACACTAGGTAAGAGACCCCCCAAATACTATCTGCAATGTGTGGCTCAGAGAGGTTTGACCCAAAGGCGGAGGACTAATGTGTACTAGGCTTAATACCTGGATGATAAAATAATCTGCACAACAAATCCCCATGACCCAAGTTTACCTATGTAAGAAACATGCGCTTGTATCCCTGAACTTTAAAGTTTTTTTTTTCAAAAAGGGAAAACTTTCCTACTGAGTTTCAGGCAATCATCTCCAATCCCCCACTCCCAGTGATGGCTTGAAATCTAAGAAGCACTTCCAAGTCTTACTCATAAGAAAAATGTCATCCTATCAACTCAGCCTGCTGTCAAGGAAAAAGAAAGTTTCAATAGTAGCCTTGACATTTAAGAATGTAAAACAGAGAAAACAAAAGCAAAGTAAACAAAAGCAAACTCTGGAACAACATGGACCTTTTTAATAAATGTGTTTACAAAAGTGCATTAACTTCTGTTGAAATGCTCAGAGAGACTTATAGCTAACTAATTTGAGCTACTCTAGGTGTCCAGCAGCCATTTTAGTCAGAGGCCAATTGTTTTAAATACAGGGGGAGAGAAAAGGAAGACCTTTCAGATTACCGTGTTTCTAAAATGTCCAATTTATAGTTTGTTTTTATGTAAAACTATTTTGAGACTTTAGGGTAAGGGTAACCTCAGGATTGTGATGGAAATATTTAAGGTGTCATTTTAGTGGTAAAATGGGAAATGATACATAGGAAAGCAGCGAGGATCTGTGAAGATACATGAAAGGGAAGGAAAAAAAATAATGAAAATAAAATATAATAGTGGAAAAGAGGAGACAAAAACAATACTCTTATCCTCTTTTACTTTTTCCTTCCTAAAATGATTTCTTACCACTGATTTAAATATCTTTCTATTATTAGGTTTCCTTTTGCCAATAAAGCCAACATTCATTAGTTAATTAGCTTTATTTCTTGGACATAGCATTCCAAACTTGTCCAGTGACCTATGGAATGCACACTACTGATTTTAATGAGAAGTGTCAGGCACTGTTGGGAACACAGCATGAATAGAGTAGGGACAGCAATATCAGAACAAAATTCCATCACCAGCATTTTGGTAAATGTTTTATGTAATACAGAACTACTAGTATTTATAACTGCTATTTATTTTTAAAGTTAATTTATAAGATAAAAATCAGTGAAACAATATTTACTACATTTTAAATAGGTTTCAAAATGTATTTTTTCAAAATATTAAGAAAAGCCCATAAATTTAATATAATTAAAAATAAAATGTTCAATATTTTACTAACAGTAAAAATTATTACTGTATTAAAATAATAATTTCATAAAGCAAAAAATTAGAAAAAATATTTTTTAAAGAGTTAACTTCAAATTGGAAGTATACTTTTGCTTAAAGTTTTCTAGCTGCTGAAATAGCTTTTTCAAATTCTATACTATTCTAGTAAATGGAAAGGAGATAGTTATAAACTAACTTCAGATAGTTTTCTCTGCTGTGGTAACTTGAAATACTCTCATCACTTGTTTGTAAACTTGGAATCAACTTTTGATACATTTTTTTCCAGGAAATGAACAGTTATATTTGTAATTTTTATAATGTTTAAGTTGTAATTTTTGTCTTAAAGCATTGTAGTTCACATTTGTCTCTTTGGTTTCATCATGCATACATGGGGATTCTGATGGAAAGTTACTTGTATCAGTTTCAATGCTGTCATTGAACCTATTCCGCTACTTGGGCAAAAAACCCTTTGAAGTAAATTAAGATTTATTCTTATAATAGAATCTTTGCAATACTATTGCATGCTTACATACTGTGACTTGTGTGGGCATAGACAAATGTCCAGACCTATGGACTACTTCATATGATGAATTTATCTTTTAAGCATAAACTGAGCAACAAGGTCACTGCCTGGATTTCAGGAAGCAAATAATTCAGATGTAAAAGTGATTTAAAGATGAAAATAAGAATCTTAGACAAAACCATCTGTATTTGATAATTAAAATTAACATGCTATACCTCTATCCTAGAATATAGAAAGCTAGTATTAAACCTATTAAAACAGCAACTCCTCTGCCTTATTATACATTAGTTTATGGGGAAGGGAGAGAAAATTATAAATACATGAGTATAGTGACAGATAGGGAGAGGTGCTATATAATTAATAAATTAAAACCGATAAAAGTGGAGGGAGAAATTGAGAAGAGGTATTTCAAGGCTGTGTCAGGATCAACAGGAAAGACATCTTTGAGGAGATAATATTTGAGTGAATGGCTGAAGGAAGTGTACAAATTGCTACTGTGCTGTCTGGGAAATGTGCACTTCAGAAAAGGGAAAGGCAAATACCAAGGATTGAAGCAAGAGGTCCTTGAGATATTCAGGAAACATCTCAAAGACCAAAGTGGTGACTTAGTAGGAGATGGTGGCAGAGAGATAGGCAGGAGGAAAATATGGCTCACCTTGTAAGCATTTAAAATACTTTAGGTTTTATTAATGCACGGGAACCCCCTGAATGGCATTGGCAGAGGAATAACATGATTTTAAAACATATATATTCTTTTTTGTGGATAAAAAATGATAAACAAGCAAACTATTTTACAGTTACTTTACCTGTAACTTTCAGCATCTAAAATAATCACAATCTGTTTTCTAGTTTCTCAGGTCAAAAACTATAGAGCCAATATATTTGTTCTTTTTCTTTCTCATTCAATCCGCTCTAAAGAAACATTGTATTGACTCCATCTTAAATATACATCCACAATCCAACCCCTTCTTATTATGCCCTCTCTCCAATTCTAATCTAAGTCACTGTCCTACCCAGTTTACTATACTGTAATTACTATAATAGCTTATTAACAGGTCTCTTTGCATGTGCCCTTGTGTCTGTACAGTTTCCTTTCAAAACAACAGTCACACAACAATTTAAAAATATAAACCAAATAAAGTAACTCATTTGCCAGCAACACTGCAATACTTGCCATTGTACTTAGAGTGAAAATGAAGGACTTTACAAAGGCATTCATGATCTAAAGCTGCCCCAGATTCTGGTTTCTCTTCTAACTTCATTTCTGCTACTTCCCTTGCTTTCTCCAGAGCAGTTAGACTGGACTCATGCATGGATAGGGCCTGAATAGGCCAAGGATTTTGCAATAGGTACTCCCTCTGCCATGAACACTCTTCCCTTAGACAGCTGCACATTCCCTCGCATCATTCAAATCTCCGCCAAAATATTAGCTTTTTTGATGAGACTTCCATTCACTATTTGACATGTACCTGAATGAAGGTTCAAAACAATGAGGTCAAGAGGGAGGCTATTGAAATGTTCCAGCTGAGAATTTGGCTTGAACAAGGGTGTTAACATTCCTAATGATAAAAGTGTTCATATCCATGATATGTAGTTATGGGAGGGTTTAAAGGATTTGTTGATGGACAAGACGTGTCAAAAGAGAGAAAAGAAGAAATCAAAGAGTAATGTAAATGAATACTGGCAGAAAAGAAGCTTTGTTCAGGGCTCAGTAATCAATTATGAATTTGGAATACATTAAGTTTGAGCTTCTATATTAGATATATATAAAATGGACAAGAGTTTAACGGTAGGATGAGAATTAAACAGGTTTGGTGTTTTCAGGTCAATGGAACATAGAAAAAGAGAATCAAGGAATTTGAAAGTGGATGTGTAAGTATGTTTTTTAAAAGAAAATGGGGACCTGCAGGGGGTACTAGACACAGGAATGTCAATGTAGTCATATAATTGGAGGTCCTGTTGCTTTTTTAAAAATTTATGAAATTTTGTCATTACAGTACATGAGTGAGTGAACTTGAAATACAGGAAGTGGGGATCAGAGAGTGAAAGAATTTAAATTAAAGGTATTTCAGGGTGTGCAATTACAGGCATGATAACTTATAGGATAAGACCATGGGAGATGGACTGAGGTGAAGGAGAGGGGGAAATTAGCAAAATAATTATCAAAAAATTTAAACAACCAAAGTGAGTGGATTTCCAAGAGGGATACCAAAGTTATCAAAAAATATGACCACAGTGGTGATAAAGAAAAGGTCAGCAAACTAGATGCTAAAACATTTAGTAAAGGATAAGCAGAAACTGAGAGAAAAGCTACTAGAAAAGGAGCCAGGGAGAGGGGGAGGGGGAGAGAGAGTCAGAGAGAGAGAGAGGATACAGCTGCTGGCTAGGGTTTTCAGAAGGAGAAGGGAAAAAATGGTTTGGATATGGCAACAAGGGCAACGCTGTCTATACACTTCACTGCTTGTGGTACACAACTGTAGAAGAATGAATAGTGACCAACTCAGAAGGCTACAAGAAAAACTGTCCTCAGGTTTCAGTGAGAAAAAAAAAAGAAAGTGTAGAAAAAATATTGTGGGCTGGGCATGGTGGCTTATATCTGTAATCCCAGCACTTTGGGAGGCTGAGGCAGGAGGATCGCTTGACTCCAAGAGTTCCAGACCAGCCTGGGCAACATAGTAAGACCCCATATCCACAATTTCTTTTTTTCAAAAAATTAGCCAGGTGAATAGCCCCAGCTACTCGGTTACTTGGGAGGCTGAGATGAGAGGATTGCTTGAGCCCAGGAGGTTGAGACTGACATGAGCTTGGTTCACAACACTACATGCCAGCCTGGGTGAAAACATGAGACCCCGTCTCTAAAAAATAAAAAAATAAAGAAAAAAAAATACATTGTGGATACTTGGAAAATATTCTGTGGACAAAATGAGATACAGAGGGCACAGTGGAAGAATACTGGATATTAACAAATATTGGAGGTTGTGCAAAGCATTATGGGGCTAAGGTTCCTTTAATCAGGTATGCCAGGAAGACTTAAAGATTTCATGATGTTAATTCAAATTTTATCTGCACATGTCTGTACTTATTATTTTTTATATGGAAATTAATACATTGAAGGAAGGAAGAAAGTTTATACTGATGAGAACATATGTTCTTAAATGAGGCATTTAGGGGGCCAGATTACAGGATACCTCCTGTCCCCTATAACAATATTGCAGAATGTAAAGTTGTACTAATAGTAGCAAAAGCTACTCTTGATGAGAAAATGGCAACAATGTCCTAGATATTTTTAATAGTTATATAGTTTATGACCAGAAACTGAAGTTAAAAACTATATTTAAACTTTAAAAAACTTTTCCCTATGTTAAATTTCAGAATGATTGATTCAAAAAAACCCCATTGTCTCAGCCCAAAACCTCCTTAAGCTGACAAGCAACTTCAGCAAAGTCTCAGGATGCAAAATCAATGTACAAAAATCACAAGCATTCTTATACACCAACAACAGGCAAACAGAGAGCCAAATCATGGGTGAACTCCCATTCACAATTGCTTCAAAGAGAATAAAATACCTAGGATTCCAACTTACAAGGGATGTGAAGGACCTCTTCAAGGAGAACTACAAACCACCGCTCAAGGAAATAAAAGAGGATACAAACAAATGGAAGAATATTCCATGCTCATGGGTAGGAAGAATCAATATCATGAAAATGGCCATACTGCCCAAGGTAATTTACAGATTCAATGCCATCCCCATCAAGCTACCAATGACTTTCTTTACAGAATTGGAAAAAACTACTTTAAAGTTCATATGGAACCAAAAAAGAGCCCGCATTGCCAAGTCAATCCTAAGCCAAAAGAACAAAGCTGGAGGCATCACGCTACCTGACTTCAAACTATACTACAAGGCTATAGTAACCAAAACAGCATGGTACTGGTACCAAAACAGAGATATAGATCAATGGAACAGAACAGAGCCCTCAGAAATAACGCCGCATATCTACAACTATCTGATCTTTGACAAACCTGAGAGAAACAAGCAATGGGGAAAGGATTCCCTATTTAATAAATGGTGCTGGGGAAACTGGCTAGCCATATGGAGAAAGCTGAAACTGGATCCCTTCCTTACACCTTATACAAAAATCAATTCAAGATGGATTAAAGACTTAAACGTTAGACCTAAAACCATAAAAACCCTAGAAGAAAACCTAGGCATTACCATTCAGGACATAGGCATGGGCAAGGACTTCATGTCTAAAACACCAAAAGCAATGGCAACAAAAGCCAAAATTGACAAATGGGATCTAATTAAACTAAAGAGCTTCTGCACAGCAAAAGAAACTACCATCAGAGTGAACAGGCAAGCAACAAAATGGGAGAAAATTTTCGCAATCTACTCATCTGACAAAGGGCTAATATCCAGAATCTACAATGAACTCAAACAAATTTACAAGAAAACAACAAACAACCCCATCAAAAAGTGGGAGAAGGATATGAAAAGACACTTCTCAAAAGAAGACATTTGTGCAGGCAAAAGACACATGAAAAAATGCTCACCATCACTGGCCATCAGAGAAATGCAAATCAAAACCACAATGAGATACCATCTCACACCAGTTAGAATGGCAATCATTAAAAAGTCAGGAAACAACAGGTAATGGAGAGGATGTGGAGAAATAGGAACACTTTTACACTGTTGGTGGGACTGTAAACTAGTTCAACCATTGTGGAAGTCAGTGTGGCGATTCCTCAGGGATCTGGAACTAGAAATACCATTTGACCCAGCCATCCCATTACTGGGTATATACCCAAAGGAATATAAATCATGCTGCTATAAAGACACATGCACACATATGTTTATTGCGGCATTATTCACAATAGCAAAGACTTGGAACTAACCCAAATGTCCAACAATGATAGACTGGATTAAGAAAATGTGTCACATATACACCATGGAATACTATGCAGCCATAAAAAATGATGAGTTCATGTCCTTTGTAGAGACATGGATGAAATTGGAAATCATCATTCTCAGTAAACTATGGCAAGAACAAAAAACCAAACACCACATGTTCTCACTCATAGGTGGGAATTGAACAATGAGAACACATGGACACAGGAAGGGGAACATCACACTCTGGGGACTGTTGTGGGGTGGGGGGACGGGGGAGGGATAGCATTGGGAGATATACCTAATGCTAGATGATGAGTTAGTGGGTGCAGCGCACCAGCATGGCACATGTATACATACGTAACTAACCTGTACATTGTGCACATGTACCCTAAAACTTAAAATATAATTTAAAAAAATTAGCCTTATAAATGTGACTATTGATTTCAAGCAAAGAAAAATATAGCAGCCCAGCTTTTGAGATAATTAACTCCAAAAGATTAAGCTTTCCTGTTGAAAATTATTGAGTGACCAAGTGGAAGCATTCCATTAATTAATACATTCCTCATGCAAATATGTGATTGCTATTTTAAAAATCATTTTTCAAAATTAATAAGAAAATATAATTTTATTATATGTTGAAATATGTCAACCTATGCATTTCTGCAAATGCAGTGTCTTATTTCATAGTCACAGTGCATACTTAGTTAGTTATATTTGTGACATAAACTGAAAACCTTAGTTATATTTGTGACATAAACTGAAAACCTTAACTTTACCCATGACTGATGTGGTGAGATTTATCACAAGCCAAATAAAATAAATGCTGAAGCTGACTTGGGGATGGGGGTGGGGGAAGTTATGTTAATACATCAAATTGAAATTTAAGTAGTGTAAGTTATAATAATCTAAATCCAGTGAGTAGAAAACAAAAAAAAACACAATAAGCTGAGAATATAAAAGAGAATATCATTATCGTTGAAATATCTCAGAATTTTGGAGGAGAAAATAAAAGGCTTAGAAAGCAAAATTCTCTATATCACAACATTTCTGATTTTTAAAAACATAGTATTCATATTTCTCTAATATTTAGTCAGTGGCATATTTTACAAAGTTTTCTCCCAATTAATTTGGTTAAATAGTTGATTTTCAGACTTGAAAAATTTTTATGAGAAAGACACCAGCTGGTTTAACAAAACTTTATTTCCTGGCTCATTTCCTCATTTTACTCTAAATAGTAAAAATTTGATCCTCCTGATATGTTGAGAATATTGGAGTCATTGCATTCAGTAAAAATTAGTGTGTGTGTATGTGCGCACGTGTGTGTGTGTGTGTGTGCAAAATGGCAGTATTAATAATGTAGTTCATGATAATCTTCAAAGCCATTAAGTGATTTTGGTGAATAAACACTTTCTACTCTACAAAAGTGGGAAGTATGGTGGAGAATTCAGAAACCTACATGTCAGGTCACAATGACTTTCCCTTCTCTACTCATGAACCTCCATCCAAGAGGTGATCAGAGACCCTAGGAAGCATCAGTGGAGCTGTGTCCTGTAGCGCCGTGGACACTGCCACCTGTGTAAGTGAAGTGCAGCACAGAGTCCTGTAGCTGTAGCACTGCCTTTGGAGAAATTTCCAAATGTCTATCGAGCTCTGTGAGCTCCTGAGAGAACCCAGCACTATTAACTTTATGCCAACACTCACAATCAACCCACTATGATCTACCTTTGAGGCCATTAAAATTAATCCCTTTTTACCATTACCTCAGATATCCCAGGAAGCCAGTGGTTTCCAAGTCATCCCTCACTGTGTGGTTCTTTTCCCCCAAGCAGCTCTGTACACTTCTTTCATATTCTTCTTAGGAATCTCTTTCCTTTGACTGTAAACTCTCAAGTGGTGGTTATTCTTTCTCCCTCTTCTCTCACAGCCCAATGTCTACATGTTGTATAGTTGTCTTCATCTTTTCCTCATGTCCCGTCCTCTTCCTTAAAAGCTTTACTTATTTCAAGATGATGCCATCAAACCATGCTACCCATATCTTCTCCTGTCATAGTCATAGCCAACCTTCCTGAGCATCCCCTCTAATTCTTTAACATTTAACCTCTGACATGTTATATCTTTCTCTAATGTAATCCCAACCTTACTTTATTTGTTTGTCTGTCTGTTTTGAGACAGAGTTTCGCTCTTGTGGCCCAGGCCGGAGTGCAATGGCGCGATCTTAGCTCACCGCAACCTCTGCCTCCCAGATTCTATTGATTCTCCTGCCTCAGCCTCCCAAGTAGCTAGGATTAAAGGCATGCGCCACCATGCCCGGCTAATTTTGTATTTTTAGTAGAGATGGGGTTTCTCCATGTTGGTCAAGCTGGTCTTGAACTCCCAACCTCAGGTGATCCTCCCGTCTCAGCCTCCCAAAGTGCTGGGATTACAGGCGTGAGCCACTGCGCCCAGCAATCTCAACCTTACTTTGCTATTTTTTTCCAACTTTATCGAAGCATAATTGACAAAGTTGTACAAATTTAAAGTGTAAAGTGTGATAATGACTTGGTATATTATATAGTGTGAAATGATTATCCTTAGTTAACATATCTGTCACCTTGCACAGTTATCATTTGTATATGTGGGGGATAGCAGGTAAGATCTATTCTCTTAGCAAATTTCAAGTATGCAATGCCTCATTTTTAGCTATAGTCATTACCTTGAACATTAATTCCCCAGAAGTTATTCATCTTTTTCGTCTTTATTTTTTTATTGATAAATACTGTTTGTACATATTTATGAGATACACGTGATGTTTTGTTTCATGCTGAGAATGTGTGATAATCAAGTCAGATTTAGGGCATCCATCACTTCAAGTATTTACTATTTCTATGTCTTGGAAACATTTCAAGTTCTCCCTTCTAACTCTACTGAAATATACAATATTATAACCCTTTGAACACCCCCCATTTCTCTCAACCCCAATTGCCTGAAAACCAGTATTCTGTTTCTATGACTTTGACTTTTAAAAATTTTACATATTAGTTAGATGATACAGTGTTTGTCTTTATCTGGCTGATTCATTTCACTTAGCATAATGCCCTCAACATTCATCCATGCTGCCGCAGATGACAAAATTTCCTTCTTTATGTGGCTGTGTAATATTACATGCATACACATGCAAACACATCACATCCTCTTTATCACAATAGCCAAGGCATGGAGAACACCTAAGTGCCTTCATTATTTCAATATCTGCAAAGTTTATTTATTTGCAACATTAGCATCTCCTAGGAGCATACTGTCTCAACTCAAAGATCTGAATCTTCCCTCTAACTCTACAATCTACTCCTACTCTAGTATGCTCTATACTACCATAATATATAACTACATCATCTTCTCAATGTTAACTTACATAATCTTAATGTTAAGTATTTTATATTCTATGCACGGCCTCATTTCTCTTTCTAATTTACTCCTTGTAGTCCTTTTCTCCCCCAACGTTTATTCCATCCCACAATCCATTGACCCTACCAATCTTCAGTGTCTGTCATCCCCATCATACTCTCTGTTGCCTCCTTGTGTGAATTAGATTACACCTTTTACTTCTATAATCACTAATTGCATACACCCTTAAATCACTCTTTCCCCTCCATTGTCATAGCCTGATAAAGCTCGACCCTACTTTAATTCAACACCCTAGCTATTTCTGACGGGTATATGAGTAAATTACACTTGGTTTGAGATTGACACATATTATTGTAGGCTGAACTTACTTTAAATCCATGTTCGCTAACTTCAAGGAGATGCTGTAGCATATCAGTAATACTCTATTTTCCTCATACTCACTTGGATTACTATTTCATTAGACATTTTTGCTTATTTCACTTGAGTAACAGAGCCATCAGAAGACACTTTCCAAATGATTCAACAACCACACATTCAAAGCAACCTATTCTATTTTTTCTTCTATTACAATTCATTTAACATCTGCCATCCTATCTAAGCTAACTCTTCTGCTTGTGCCCTATATCCCAACCCATTTCTACTACTATCTAAATATAAACTATTTTGAACTTTCCTTAGTTGCCAGTTTATTAGCTTCTCTAATAATTGTCTGTATTTTTATCATCCTAACTCATGGAGTCCTTTTAAATCTCATGTTCTAATCCATTAACTCCCTCAAATATGAGTGTCCCAAGTCTCAGTCGAAAACCTTCTCATGTTCCTATCTGGGTTCAATGTGAGGTAATTTCATTGAGTTTCCTGTTGTATTTTTATTTTTTCTAAGCTAACCTCTTTTATTTATTTATTTATTTTACATTTAGAGACTACAAGTGCAGTTTTTTGTTTGTTTGCTTGTTTTTTGTTATTTTAACATGGGTATATTACATAGCGGTGAAGTCTGGGCTTTTAGTGTACCCATAACCCGAATAGTGAACATTTTACCCAATAGTTCATATTTCATTCTTACACCCTCTCCCACCATCCCACCTTTTAGAGTCTCCAATATCTATTATTTTACCCTGTATGTCAATGTGTACCCATTGTCTAGTTTCCACTTATAAGTGAAAAGATTAGGTTTTTTACTTTCTGGTTCCGAGTCATTTCACTTATGATAATGGTCTCCAGTTCCATCCGTGCTACTGCAAAGACATGATTTTATTATTTTGGGTGGCTAAGTTGTATTTCATGGTGTGTGTGTGTGTGTGTGTGTGTGTGTGTGTGTGTGTGTGTGTGTGTATCATGTTTTTAATCCAGTCATCCATTGATGGACACTTAGGCTGATTCCATGACTTTGCTATTGTGAATTGTACTGTGATAAACATATGAGTGCAGGTGCTATTTTGATATAATGATTCCTTTTCTTTTGGCTAGATATCCAGTAGTAGCATTGCTGGATAAAATGGTAATTCTATTTTTAGCTCTTTGAGAAATCTTCATACTGTTTTCTATAGAGATGTACTAATTTATTTTTCTATCAACAGTGTGTAAGCATACCCTTCTCTCTGCATCCTTGCCAACATCTGTTGTTTCTTGACTTTTTAGTAATAACCATTCTGACTGGTGTAAAATGGCATCTCACTGTGGTTTTAATTTGTATTTATCTGATGATTAAAGATGTTGAGCATTTTTTATATGTTTTTTGGCTGCTTTTATATCTTCTTTTAAAAAATATTTGTTCATGCCTTTTGCTGACTTTTTAGTGGGGTTATTTGATTTTTTCCTTGCAGAGGTGTTTGAGTTTCTTGTAGATTCTGAATACTAGCCTTTTGATGTATGTTTTCCTTGAAAATGTTTCTCCTATTCTATAGTTTGTCTGTTTACTCTGGTGACTTAAAATTATACTAAAAGGTTATAGTAACCAAAACAGCATGGTATTGATATATAAAAATAGACACATAGATTAATGAAACAGAATAGAGAACCACATACCTACAACAAATTGATCTTTGAAAAAGTCAACAAAAATATACATTGGGGAAAGAACATCCTATTCAATAAATAGTGCTGGGAAAAATAAAGAATTATATGCAGAAGAATAAAACTAGACCCCTATCTTTTACCATATTCAAAAATTAACTCAAGTTAGATTAAAAACTTAAGACCTGTCATTTTAAAAATCCTAGAAAAAAAAACTAGGAGAAACTCTTCCAGACATTGGCCTAGGCAAAGAATTAATGACTAAGTTCTCAAAAGGAAATGCAACAAAACAAAAATAGACAAAAATTGAATATAATTAAACTAAAAGGTTTCTGCACAGCAAGTTTCCTGGTTTTAAATGTCATGTCTCTGGCACTGGCTTCCAAATTTATATATTTAGCCCGATAGCTTCTCTAAAATGGAAACATACTTGATATCTACTTCAATATCTCTACTTGGCTCTATTAGGTGTCTTGTCTAACATGTTCAAAACTGACATCTTGTTTTACACTCCTGCCAACCAGGCCCTTCTTTCTACAGATTTTTCCATTTTGGAAATGGTATTAGAAAACTGTTAAGGTTTATTTCCCAACCTTTCAATTGAGCAAACAACCTTAGAGTTACCCTTGACTTATTTCTGTTACCTCACATCTAATCCTTCAGCAAAAGATTGAACTATTCTTAGAAATATATTCCAGATCTGATCCTTAATTACCACCATCGCGAGTCATCTTGATGGCAGTGTCAGTCACCACCAACTCTGGGCTACATACTCATAGTAGCTTTCTAGCTGGTCTCCCTTCCCTTGGGAACATACACCTACACTCTATTTAATAAAATTGAGTCAGAGTGATCATTTAAAGCAGTATCTGCCTACTGGAATGTAAGTTTCTAATGAAAAGAGCTTTTTTTCTTTTTAATTTGTTTGGCCTTTTTTATGGTTGCAGAAGAGTTTTACTTAGAGTAGGAAAGTTTCTGAAAAATATATAAATATTCTTTAAATTAAACAAATTAGTCATTTCATGTCACCGCCCAAGTCAAGACCTTCCATTTCAATCAGTAAGATCCAAAATCATTATTATAAACAAATTATATAATGAATCAAATAAATTAGTTAGAAAATATTCTATACATAGCATAGTAAAATAATTTAGAAATACAGACATGAATAAAACACATTCTTCTTGAATATCTTACAGTAGAGTAGAATTTCTTAGTAATTCAAAATCATTTTCATAGTCAGCAATATTACAGAAATATTTGATTTTCTTTTAGTAGATAACTAATAATTGAGTGAGCAATAAAACTACTTGTATGGCTGAAGATTAACCATTTAAAATATGTGAGCAATCTAACTCAGTGGTTTGTAAAGAAGTTCAGTATATTTACGTGGAAAGTTTTCAGTTGTAAATAACATAATCCTAACTCAAACAGACTAAACCAATGCAGGGAATTATTGGCTCATATTGTTAAACTGTCTATAGGTAGTTCTTTCTTCATAAACAATTTGATCATTGTTCTGGCTCTCCTTTTAATCCTTTCAGCTCTATATCTGTTTTGGCTTTGTCTCCTTGCTGGACTTCATGGTTGCAAAATGACCTCCAGTTGCCCAATTACATGCTGCAATACAATTTCTTAGTGTTACTGTAGAGTGTGACTTTCATTTCCCTTTAAAACCTCTAGTAGGAGTTTCAGTGTTAATCTTAAGTGCAGACTTTCTTCCAAATGGTTCAAGTATCAACATGCAAAAGTGCCAAATATACCTTGAAAAAATTTACCTGCTAGGGCCAAACAAGCAAGTAGGGGGTAAAAAAGTTATTTCACTTTTGTAGACGGAAAGCAGTAATGCTGGAGAAGAGTGAGAGGAATTCTCTAGGAATTCCTAGTATTTGGATGGCTAAACCACCACCCAAATACTGGTCAAGTATCCTTTTTAAAATATTTGTTTCTTTTTTTGCAGTTGCTGTATTTCACAAACTCCATTTTATTTTCAAATAATTTTCCAAAGTATTCACATAAACAATCAAACCATTCTTCTATAATTTAAGAGAGTCACCAAAGTTGTATTCTATCTGTCTGATACCTCCAAGACATCAATTATTCCTTTTCCTTTCCTATCAGACTCTACTTGTGTGCTACCTGCTCCCAGCATTGCCACTTTTGATACTTTACAACTCCTTCTGCTCATAATAATAACATTTTTATGCTAACTTCCCATAGACACCTAAAGCTTTCAGTCTTCTAGGTGGTAAGGAATTTTCTGATTTTTAACTACTGGAGAAAATTAATTTCTTTCTAACTGTATTGCTTTAAGTTACTAGGTACCAAATAAAAATTTCCATAACCAATGTTTCACTGTCTTTCTCAGGGAGGTAATTTTGTTTCAGTTTCTCTCTCATCTACCCATATAAATTTAGATCTATAGCATATGTTCAGGTAGGGAAACTAATATCATCATAATCACTCTATTCTTCTCCTTTCCACATTTGACTCCTTTTCACCTTGACACATTTTTTTTCTCCCAAATTCAGAAGAGTAAAACTTCAGTAGAAGAGTAGTTAAACTAGTTGGAAGGTATAAGACAATTTCCCTCATTGAAGCTGTTTAAGGCCAAGCTCATCTTGACTAATAGTTCTCAAAGTATGGTGTCTCCAGATCAGGACAATCAGCATCACTTACGACTTGATTGGAAATGTACATTTGCAATCCTCATCCCAGATCTATTAAATTATAAACACTAGAGACAAGGAACAACCATTTGTACTTTAGCTCTTCAAGAAGTTCTAATTTCAAAGTGTTAGAGTCACTGACCTAGGAAAACATACCTCATAAGTTAGTAACACACAGATAAATCCTTAACATAAAAGCACTGAAGTCAAGTCGTTTTTATTTTTATTATTATATTCACTGATATTCTTTGACTCATATGAGAACAGAAAAATAGATTTCAAGATTAATTTCCTGTCATTTTTTTCAACTTCATACTTAATTAATATTTATTATATCTCTATTATTTCACCTGAGTCAGAGTTAGCAATTTTTTTTTAATCAGTCAGTTTTATGTTTGGGGAGGAGATGTATTTGTTTTTTTTTTTAAGTTGATCACTTTTCTAAGTACATTCACTAATCTACTAGCACATTGAGGCATAGAAATAGAATTGTAAATTAAAAGTAAATATTTTTAAAGGGATAGTATTCAGGTTTATTGATGAATTAATATACAATTGAAGGCATGCAAAAATTTGACAGAATGGATTACAGTTTTCAATATCTTGATATAATGATAAGGTTTATTGTCAGTTCTTTTGAAAAAGTCACATTTCAAAAGGTTAATTTAAAAAAAATCTTTAAATTTGGATTCCTTTGAAATAGATTAAAGTATCATACAGTGTGAAGTGGATGCATATTCTAAGTTTCTTTTCAGTGTGTTCCAAGGCTATTCTGTACCCCACATGTTAATTTTCTGCCTTTATGAATATTCTAAAATTTTGAGGCTACTTACTGCTTTTCAATAATGCCCAACAGAATTTACTTGAAGCAGTCAGATAAAAGTCAGGCAAGTGTGAAGAGTATAAATTGTATTTCTTAATGATGTGAGAAAATGTCTATAAAGCTATTTAAAATTGACTAAATTATACACCCAGATTCTTGGGTCACTTCTGCCATTTATAAATGAGTAATCTGTGGCAAATTATTACTTAAAGAAAGAATGAATTCCTAAAAGTCTGCCTAAAGACCCTAACTAATATCTATCTGCTGAGGTTTGTGAAACACAGGAAGAAATATTCTATTATTTTAAAATATTTCAATATTATATATGTATAACAAAAATAATACTATGGAGACATATCTCTCTCTTTTCTTTCTAGATCTTCAATTATTATTTGATTATATTAAAACCTCCATTATTAAACAAAGTATTTTTTAATAACCGTATACCTAAATTATGCTTGAGAATTTCTCAATTTCTCAAATATTTATTTTAAATTAATACCACAACAATTAACCCAAAACATGCAAAAAAAATTTACTTTAACTTCAAATAGAATATTATATACCATTAAGTAAAAGTTAGGGTTAAAACCAGAACATCATTATATTTTTGTTCACATGATTTAAAAATCCATGTACTTTGTATTAAAAATAAACAGAAAATTAATTATACCTGCAAGGATAATCTTTCTCACATTTCTTACATGTAGCATTATTCCTCAAAGGAAATGACTCACATGATGTTTGAATGCTCTTACAAAGCAAATCTGTAAATATTGGTGAACAGATGCACATAACATCCTAGGAAAGATTAAAAAAATATTTTTACAAAGTATTATGGATATTTCAAAGGTAATGAATGGGTTCTTACCTGGAGAAGGGTTAAAATTATTTTCATGAACTTGGAGTAGAAATTATCTGTCAGCAATGTGGCAGATTCTATTTTCCAAAATGTCACAACACCATCTCCCATCTCACACACTCTTCCTGCTATGTGAAATCAAAGCTCCTCTATTAAGAGTTAGCAACTATATTCCCTTCCTCTTGAATGTAAGCAAGATTGTGATCATGGAGACAATGATGCTTTAAAGGCCATATAGATTCTATCTAATTATCTTAGAATGCTTGCTCTTTGAACCCAGCCACCATGCTCTCAGGAAGCGCAGGCCACATGGAGAAATCATGTTTAGGATTGTGGCTAATAGGCCCAGTTCTGGGCCAAGCTAACAGCCAACATTTACTACCAGACATATGAATAAGAAAACCTTCAAGATGAAGTCCAAGTCTAGACACTTTCCGATGGCAACCTCAGAGGGACTCTAAACAATATCCTAGCTGAGACAAGTCAGCTCACAGTACCATAAGAGATAATAATAAAATAATTATTTTAAGCCACCAAGTTTTGGGGTGACTATGCATAGAAAATAAACCATTGGCACCTGAAACAAGTCCATGCATCCATGGGCAGGTAAAAATAAAATGAAATTAAATTTGCTGGGCAAAAGTTAATTTCACCTGCATTCAAAATACAACCTAATCATCATATTTCTTCCTCTTGCTGTCCTCCTTATTTTTTCCTCTCTTTTTTCTTTGTTATCCTTATCATCATCATCATTACCATCATTTTCATTATCATATTTATCTGAACAACAAGATTTATTAAGATTCCAAGGTAAAAAGCCCGTATACTTAAAATTGATGATTTTTTTATTCTCATTGAATCCAATCAAAATTTATTTAATTTAACCCAAAACTAACGTTGAAAGAGGTATATAGCTTGCCCAACCTCATACATGGTAGCAGTACAAATGATAACATGTACAATTTTCCAAGTAATTTATCTACAAAATAATTCTTCTAATGAATAATAGAGAATATTAAATAATGAGAATATTAAATAGAGAATATAAATAATGAATAATAGAGAAGAAAAATAGAATTAAAGTACTTCTATGAATTAATAGTTAAGCATACATCCACTAAAAGTCGCTTCTTATATTAAGATTCTTTTAACTAGTAAAGTTATAACATGTGTTCAATTGTTCATTATTGTCAACTTTAAAAGCAAAACATTTTAAACGATACTATTAATAGTTCTTGATAGATTATTGTATTAGTTTTCTATTTATATAACAACTTTTTATTTAAATAGCAAATTCTTACAAACTTAGTAGCTTGAAGCAACAACAACAACAAAAAATCATTATCTTAGAGTTCCAGAGGTCATAAGTCTGAAAAGTTTCAGAAGGCTAAAACCAAGATGTCTGCTGTGTCCCTTCTGTAGGCTCTACAGGAAAATGTTCCCCTGACTTTTCTAGCTTATTCTAGAGGATGCATTCATTTTTTCATTTATGGTCCCTTCCTCCATCTTTAAAACCAGCCTCATTACATCATCAAATCCCCCTTTGACTCTGATTCTTCCATCTCTCTCTTCCACTTTAAAGGACCCTTGTGATTACACTGGATCCACCCAAATAATCCAAGATAACATCAGCTGATTAGCAGCCTTTGTTCCATCTGCAATCTTAATTTCCTCTTGCTGGGTAACATAACACATGCACATATTCCCAGGATTAGTGCATGGACATTTTTATTTATTTTATTTTTATTTTATTTTTTGGTGGAGGATGAGGGGCATACATAGTCTGCTTACTACAATAATAGTTTCCTTGATTTTTAGAAGAAGCATGTATTATTGCTCTTTGCCCTTGTATCTCCAAATATTTGGGTCTAGTATATGGTACATTGGTAACAAATCTTTGTATATTGTAGAAGAAATATCAGGTGGAGTAAAAAATGTTCTTCTATAAACTTTTATCTGTATATTATGTTCTATATAATATAACTAATTCTTCTCAGCAAAAGTTCAGCAATTTTTTTGATAAAATGGACAATTCTCCAGGGGAAAAAAAATTCCTTTTCAGAGTGTTAGTAACAAAAAGTTTAGGAGGTTGGAAAAATAATCTCTTAAGGTTCTTTAAAGAATTAATGACAAATATGAATCTAAAATGAAAAGACAGTAATTTGTGAGAAGAGCTAATGAAATATTTCCTACTCTTATTTATTTAAATGTTAAATTGAAAAGTTAAAGTAAAACAATATTGAATAACTAAAAGATGAAAAAAAGCAATAAGTAGAAATGAAGAGTGTACAAATTTATATTCTTTTAAAAGGGAAAATACTGATGGAAGAGCAAAGTTTTTTCCTATATAAATAGGAAAAATTAAAATAAGTAGACCGTTCTTGTTCGTCTGAGTTTAACAATTAAACTACCTTAATAAGGATTCTAATTATTTATTCTTTTCAAATTGCTTGGTAATAGTAAAAAAAATTTAAAACCACTCACTTATATGTTAGATTGAGACTTACATTTGATATTTTGATGCAGTCAGTACCATTCTGACATGGTACTAATGAAAACTCACTGACATCAGTTTCACCATTTTGGCTGGAAGATCCTTTTGGGCATTCATAAGTATAAGCAGAACTGCTATTTGGGCAAATTCCTCTTTTCCAAAAAAGCAGAGAAACACAAGGTTTTGCTGACACCTCACAGAATGGACCTTAAAAAAATCACACACAAGAAAAAAAAAGAAAAGGAAGGAAGGAAAGAAGAAATGAGCATAGATATGTAGCAAAACATTCTAGAAAATTTCTCTAGAGTTTATGAAATATTTTTATTTAACAAATGTATTGCAGTGTAAGTTATATATTATAAAATTCATTCATTGCAATTCTACAGTAACTTTTGCAAATGTATAGAGCTACTCAAGCATCATCACAATACAGTTTTAGCACAATTCCATTACCCAAAGAAGAGCTCTTTTGTAGTCAATCTTTGTACCCAAGCCCAGTTCCAGGCATTTCATTAGAAAGGTATGATGGAGTATTTGGTCTTTTGCGACTGGCTTCTTTTGCATAGCAATTTTTTTTAAAGAATTTTCACGTTGTATCATATATCAGTAGTTGGTACTTTATATTGCTAAAGAGTAATTCACAATATATACATTTTGTTAATCCATTCATCCTTCAGTGGACATCTGTTTTCAGTTTTTGGTTCTCATGAATCATGAATTCATATACAATTATTCGAAGGAATATGCTTTTTTTATATTTCTTGAAAAGAATCCCAGGAGTGGAATTGCTGGATTTTATGGAAAATTCATGTTTAATATTTTAGGAAACTGCTAAACTGTTTTTCAAAGTAGCTGTGCCATTTTAACATTCCCACCAGTGATGTGTCAGATTTATGTTTCTCCACATTCTTGCCAACATTTGATATTGTCCGTTTTCTTTATTATAGTCATTCTAGTAAATGTACAATGGTATCTCACTGAGGCTTAAATTTTCATTCACTAATGACTAATTATTTTTAGCATCTTCTGGTATGTGTATTAATCATTTGTATATCTTCAAAAATGAAATGTCTTTTTAAATCTATTAACTATTTTTAAATTGTGTTATCAGCTTTCTTATGATTGAGAGCATTTTTTGAGTGAGTTCTTTGTATATATTGAATAAAAGTCCTTTATGATATACGTGATTTGGCTTTCCATTTTCTCACTTGTTGACATTTGGATAGCAAAAGTTTTTATTTCATGAAATCCAATTTTTCTACTTTTCCTTTAATTAAGTCCATTTTGTCATTTTTATGTCATATATTTTGGTATCATATAATTGGTGTCTAATAATATTTTGCCTAACCCAAGGTCATGAAGACATTTTAATATATTTTATAATTTTAGCTCCTATGTTTAGATTCCTAATCCATTTGAGTTTATTTTTTATATGGTGTGGGATAACGACTTAGCTTATATGTTTCACATATACACATACAATTGTTATGACACTTTTTTCTTTTAAGACTGTCCTTCCCTCATTTCTTTGTTTGTTTGTTTAAAAACTGTTAAAACTGACCTATTATATGCCTTTTTATGTGCAATAAAGTTGCACATAGATATGCAAGAAAGTTGATTTCTGGCATATCTATTTTTTTCCTGATTTATATGCCTTTTTATGTGCAATAACCCATTGACCAGATAAATACATAATGCATATAGCTATATAGTAGGTTTTGAAATTGGGTAGTCATTCAACCTTTCCATCTTTTTTTCCAAAAATATTTTTGGCTATGCTATGGATTCTTTTTATAGTTTCCTATAAATTTTTCTATGAGCTTGTCAATTTCTACACAGAAGCCTGCTGGAATATTATAGGAATTTTATTAAATCAATAGATAAAATTGGGAAAAATTTCCATCCCAACAAGATTGAATTCCAATCGATGAATATGCAATGTATCTCCATTTCTTTGGCTATTCTTGCATTTCTCTCAGCATTGTTGCATAGCTTTATGTTAAAGTCTTGCATTTATTTGTTAAATTCATATCTAAGCATTTTGAAGGTCATGTAACTAGACTTGCTTTCTTAATTTTATTTTTGAATTTTATTTTTATTCATTTATTTTTTTCAGTCATAGTCTCGCTGTGTTGCCCAGGCTGGAGTGCAGTGGCATGATCTCAGCTCATCACAACCTCCAGCTCCTGCATTCAAGTGATTCTCCTGCCTCAACCTCCCAAGTAGCTGGGACTACAGGCATGCATCACCATGCCCAGATAATTTTTGTATTTTTAGTAGAGATGGGGTTTCATTATGTTGGCCAGGCTGGTCTCGAACTCCTGACCTCATGATCTGCCCGTCTCGGCCTCCCAAAGTGCTGGGATTACAGGCGTGAGCCACTATGCCCGGCCTTGAAGTATTGTTTTTAATATACAGAAAGGCAAATTACTTGTATATGTTAGCTTGTAGTCTGAAAACGGTATAAACCCATTTACTAGTGCTAGTAGTTCTTTGGGGGGATTCCTTAGGATTTTCTACATATTAGATCATGTCATTTGTGAATAAAGACAGTTTTACTGCTTTCCTTTCAACTAATAAGTCCGTGTGTGTGTGTGTGTGTGTGTGTGTGTGTGTGTGTGTGTGTATGTCTAACAAATAGCCTGGAACTTCCTATGTTCCAGTGTTAAATAGAAATGGTGAAAGTAGATATCATAGTCTTGTTCCCAATTCTTCCAAGAAAAGCTGTCAGCCTGACACCTTTAATGTGGTGTTCCCTGGACATTTGTCATAGATGCTTTTTATCAGGCTGAGGGATTGTGTTTCTATTTCTAATTTGTTGAGAGTTTTTATAATGAATAGGTGTTAGATTTTGTGATATGTTTTTCCTGCAACTATTGAGATGATTATGTAGGCTTTGTCCTTTATTATATTAATATGGTATATTACATTAATTGACTTTCAGATATCAAACTTATCTTGAATCCTGGGGAAAAAATCGTACTTTATCAGGATAGAAAAAAATATGTTTATATGTGATTGGATTCAATTTGCTTATATTTTGGTGGAGATTTTCTATCTTTATTCATAAGTGATATTGGTCTTTAGTTTTCTTGTGGCAGCTTTGTCTTTGGTTTTGGTATGAGGGTAATACTGGCCTGATAGCATGACTTCAAAAGTGTTCCTTTCTCTTCTCTTTTTTCCTTTTCTCTTCTTTTAAGAGATTAGTGCCAGTTATCGAGGATTGGTACTAATCTCTTAAATATCTGGCAGGTCTATATGAATTTTCCATTTCTTCTTGAGTCACTGTTAGTAATTTACATATATTTAAGAATTTATTCATTTCCTCTAAGTCGTCACATTTGTTGGCCTAATGTTGTTCATAATATCTCCTTATAATCTTTTAAAGTTTGAGCGGTCATTAATGAGTCCTCACTTCCAATGCTTATTTTATTTACTTGTGTCTTTCCTTGTATTTTTTCCTTGTTCATTCCGACTAAAGATTTGTCCATTTCGTTTTCCTCAAAAATCAATTTTTTTGTTTCATTGATTTTCTCTAAGAAGTTTTAATGATTTCTGTGCAAATCTTACTGTCCTCTTTTGTTTGTATGCTTTGCATTTAATGTGGTTTTTTTCCATTTATTTAAGGCTGAAGCTTAAAATATTGATTTGAGAGTTCTTTTTCTGGTGTAGAAACTTGGAACTATAAGCACTGTTATAAGTACTTAAGCACAGTATAAGCACTGTTTTAGCTAAGCACTGTCTTAGCTACATTTCATAATTTTTCATATGGTTCCATGTTATTTTTTTCTTCTTTACTCTCAGGTTATTTCAGAAATATGTTGTTTATAATAATTTCCAGATATGTGAAGATTTCTAGAAACAATTCTGTTGTTAATTTCTAATTAGTTTTGTGAGGGTTGAGGAACATATATGATATGATTTGTATTCCTTTAGATTTATTAAGACTAATTTTCTTGCCATGCCTATTTGTCAATACACTATCAACAGCAGAGTTGTACAGTGAGGTTTGGCACTTGAAGGGATGTGAAAGCAAGTGCCTCTTTAAACTTGATTTCCTAGGCAAGTCACTTGCCTCCCCTTAGTCCCCACCCTACTAAGATTATGCAAATAGAGTTAACAAACTAGTATTATTAAGGCCCAAGCCTGGGGTACCCACTGCAGCTTGTATAGAACTTGGATCAGCAGGTGTTTCACTTCACAGTTAACAAATACTTGTCAATCTGTTCAATGTGCTGTCATTAGGCACACCATAGTGACATTAAAACGTAACTGCAGTAGTAGGCTGACAGGCCTTGCCATCTCTGTGAACTTCTAGATTTTGAAAACAAATTTTACTCTTTTACTCCTCTTACCTTGAGTAAGGCTTTGGACAATTGATACATGTTAGAAAAAACTGAAAAGGGAGACATCTGACTCCTAGCTAAAAATGATATACGTGGACTTTGAAAATTAAGGTATTCGTACTTCAAGTTTATAACCATTTTCATCCAAATCACTATATAGTGCAAGAGTTTTTAGTAAACAACATATTTATTGAAAAATTTCTTATATCCAACTCATTTATTACTATGTGAAGAGGAGCATCAAGAAATACTTATCTACAAAATATTAAGTTACTTAGTGACAACTTACTAGCCAGAAAACACTGCTTAGATTATATAATATTAACTCATTTGGATTTTGGATTGTGTCAGTTTGTAAAACAGACAGTCATAAAGGCAGTATAAAATGTTCAGTGACCACACCATTGACATTATTATTTGAAAACAACTCAACCTTTAATTTGTGGATATTTATTAATATATAAGCATTTATTTTGATCATACAAAGAGTAAATATGTATTTCTCCATGTTATGATACATTAACATAATGTTTTCCTTTTAAATAATCAAATATTGATATTTGATTAGATGTTTAGTGGTACTTAATTAGACATAAATATTATTTGAAATTATAGTAAAACATTGTTTGAATGATACTACCTTATAAGTATGTAATTCTTGGCATTTCCATAGTGCTTACATCCATAAAGATTTGATAAAATTCTTAAAACAAAACCTGAAATTTATAGAGGTCTATTCTTACCCAGTTTTATTTTAGTTGACACATTGTAATGGTACATATTTATTGAGTATAATTTGACATTTTGAAACATACCCATGTGGTATAATGATCCAATCGGGATAGTTAGTATATCTATCACCTCATGCCTTTATCATTTATTCGTGGCAAGAACATTCAAAACCATCTCTTCTAGCCGTTTTGTAATATATAGCACCTTACTTAAGCATAGTCACTCTGTGCAATCAAACAGCAATACTTCTTCTTCTTATCTCATTGTACTTTGTACCTGTTGACAAACCTCTACCCATTTTCCCTCTTCCTTCCCCTCCCCAGTCTCTAGTAACCACTGTCCTACTTCTATGATACTAGCTTTTTTTTTTTTTTTTTAGATTTCACTTATGAGTGAGATCATGAAGTTTTTGCAGTTTTTGTGTTTCTGTGTCTGGCCTATTTCAATTAACATGATGTATATCTCCAAAAGGAATTGAAGTCAGTATACCAAAGAGATATTTTTACCCCCTGTTTATTGCAGCATGATTTATAATAGCCAAAAAATGGAATCAACCTAAGTGTTCAACAATGGAAGAATGGATAAAGAAAATGTTAACTATATACAAAATAGTATACTATTCAGCCATATAAAATAATTAAATTCTGCTATTTGTGAGAAGGATGGAAATGGTGGATATTATGTTAAGTAAAATAAATGAGTTTTATATTTTCATTTTATTTTATTTAAAAGAAACTAATTTTTCTAGATGTTAAGCAATTTGCCACATGTCACACATCTGGTTAATTAATGGAAGATTGATAATTTTAAAAACTGCATACCACCTAATCCCATAATAATTCCATGCTCTTTTCACAGCAATACTTGCCCAGATTAATTCTGTACAAAAAATAGAAGACTCAAATACCATTTGATTGTTAGTACTAGACCAATATTTCTACTCTCAGATAAAATGTTGTTCAACATCACATGTTGAATATAAAAATATACAAAAACAAATGCATTTTATTTGGCTTCTTCCAGAAACAAACAAAATTCTCCCAATGTATAAATATATCCTGTGTGTATATTTGTCATGGCAGTTTCCAAAGTAATCCATTGGGTAACATAGTAAACAGTGAAATGTGTGATTTTTCACATTTCATTTTGAAATAGTAATAGATTCATAGAAAATTACAAAGTTAATACCAGGAAATCCTGAGTATGTTTACATCTTATGTAACTATAACACTATATCAAACTAGAAAATTGGCATTAGCATAATATTTGGGTATAGTTCTATGTCATTTCATCACATGTGTAGATTGAGGTAATCACCACTATAAAAATGTGAACCATTCCATGATTACAAAGATCTCTCTCATGCTACCCCGTTATAATCTTACCCACTTCTCTGCCCTCTACCATTTCCTGATCACTGACAACCATCGATTTTCTCCATCTCTATAGTTGAACTATTTTGATAATGTTCTTTAAATGAAACCATACAATATGTAACTTTTTGGAATTGTCTTTTTTGTCCCTCTTGTTATAATGCCCTTGAGATACATTAAAGCTCTTATGTGCACCAATACGTCTTTTTTTTTTTTTCGGTTAATTGGTAAATAGTAGTATCTGGTATGAATGTACCACAGTTTGTTTAACCATTCACTTATTGAAGGACACTTTTATTGTTTCCAGTTTTTCACTATTACAAATTGCTAGGGACTGAAAATTTGTGTCCCCCACATATTATGTTGAAACCTAATCCTCAATACAATAGATTTGGGGTGGGAATTTTGGGATGTAATTAGATTATGACAGTGGAGCTCTCATGTATAAGATTAGTACCCTTATAATAATCAGATAGCTTGCTATCCCTCTCTCAGCTCTTTACCATGTGAGGATACAACAAAAAGACAGCCATTGACAAACCATGAAGTGTGCCTTACCAGGCAACAGATCTTCTGAGACCTTGATCTCTATTGCCCAGCCTTCAGGACTGTGATAAATAAATGTTTAAGCCACTTAATCTGTGTTAATTTGTTATAGTAGCCTAAACTGACTAAGACACAAATAAAGCTACCACGAATATTAATATATAGGCTTCAGTGTGAAAGTAAATTTTTATCCTACTAGGATTTGCTGGGTCATATGGTTAAGGCATGTATAGTTTTTAAAGAAACTGTCAAATTGTTTTCCAAAGTGGCTGTACTAGTTTACATTTTCCACAGCAATGTATAAGAGATTTAGTTACTCCTCATATGCACCAGCATTTCGTGTTATCATTTTTTTATTTTAGCTATTTTAATAGGTATGTAGCAACATATTATTGTGGCCTTAATTTGCATTTATCTCATGGTCAGTGACATTGAACATCTTTTCATGTACTTATTTGCTATCCTTATAGCTTCTTCAGTGAATTTTCTCCTTGTATTTTTTGTCTATTATTTATTGAGATTTTTGGATTTTCATGGTATTGAGTTTTGAGATGACTTTCTGTTATCTATATATGAGTCCTTTGTCATATATGTGGTTTGCAAGCCTATCACTTGTCTTTTAATCTTCTTAACATGGTATTTCTAGAAAAAAATAGTTTATTTTTATGAACACTGATTTATCTATTTAGTTTTTCTTTTATGAGTTGTGCTTTTAGTGCCATATCTAAGAGCTCTTGCAGTGATCCATCCTCATAAGCTTGACCCCAAGATTTCAAAATGGGGAGAACTGCTTTTTCTGAGGTGAAAGCATTTTGTTGTGCACATTTTAAGATGTGATTTTCTGTGCCTTGGATTTTTAATTTACCTGATCCCATCACTTCTCAATTTCCCCAGAATCCCTGAATAAAAAGTCTGATAATGGTCTCCATGTTATGCTTCAGAAACACCATATTTGTTTATTTTAATGGAATGTTTGATGAAAAGAAAATGATCATATATGCCTAGACCCCCAAATTAAGATATCAGACTTTTTCTTATGTAAAATATTCTTCATCACAGCTATGAAGCAATTAAAATAATACTTTAATTAATTTAGAATAATGTGTCTATTGACACTGATTATATGTCAAGAAATATTCTATATACTTGGATTATAGCAATGTACAAAATAGATTTTGACCTCATGAAGTCATGAATTTACAAGGAAATAGAACACATTTAAAATACATATAATCAATTAATTATATAGTACATTTACTAGTAATAAATGATGTTAAGAAAAATAAATCAGTAAAAGGATTTCTAAGAAGAGTACTTAAGAGAGGGGGCACATTGTGCAGCCTCAAAGATGCAAGGAATATCTAAGATTTATAGAAATAATGGAATGAGTCCTGTGGATAGGTTGTTTAAGAGCAAAGTGGGCCAGGTGCTGTGGCTCACACCTATAATCCCAGCACTTTGGGAGGCTGAGGCGCACCGATCATGAGGTCAGGAGTTCGAGACCAGCCTGGCCAATATGGTGAAACCCGTCTCTACTAAAATACAAAAATTAGCCAGACATGGTGGCAGGCACCTGTAACCCCTGCTACTCGGAAGGCTGAGGCAGAAGAATTGCTAGAACCCAGGAGGCAGAGCTTGCAGTGAGCCGAGATTGCGCCACTGCACTCCAGTATGGGCGACAGAGGGAGACTTTGTCTTAAAAAAAAAAGGAATAATGTGAACACCAACTTCCCACATCTTGTTGTATTTACATTTTTCAGTTCAGATAATGTTCTAAAATAATATATTATATAAGGATTTGTGTATATAATTTGTTGCCTTCATTTAAATATAAGCTCTACTTGGGCAGGTAATTCTGTTTGTTTTGTTGGCTGATTTATTACAAGCAAATAGAATGCTGCTACCCCACAATAGATTCTCAATAAATATTTGGTGAAAAAACAAGTAAATGAATAAATAAAGAGCATATCAACAGAGAAAACAGCAAATGCAAAGACTTTGAGTTGAGAGCATGCTTAGGTATTCAAGAAACAGAACGAAAGCTAAGAGACTGAGTCAACAATTGTATGGGTATGGAGATGAGCTCAGACGAGGATGTAATAAACTATTTCAGGAATTCTGGCATTTACTGCTTTTAGATTCTATGGAAAGATTATGGAGCATTTTGTTCTAAATAGTGGCATGATTTCACATTTTCAAAATATTTCTTCACAAGTAGCCTGTAGATGTCCAAGAAGGAAAGCAGAGAGACAAGATTTTAGACTACTGCAGTATTGCAGTAATGGAATTATAGAGACTGGATTAGGATGCTAGTGAAGAAGACAGTGAGAAAAAAATCATGCTCTAAATATATTTTGAAAGTACAGTCATCTACATTTGTTGATGGATTTAAAGTGAAGGAAAAGGAAAAGGAAGATTTAATCTTTTTTTTTTATGTAAGTAACCAGAAAGAAAGGATTAATCTTTTCTAAGATAAGGAAAAAGAATTTAAGGGAAGAAATCAGAATCACTTTTAGATATGTTAATTTCAAGATATTTATTACACATCCAAGTGAGGTTGGTTTATAGGCAGTTAATTAGAGTGATCTGCAGTTTCCGGGGTGAGGTCATAAGTGAAGATAAATATTTGAGATTTGCCTGTATGAGGATAGTATTTAAAGCCAAGAGAACAGGTATGATCCTTTAGGGAAAAAATGGAGAGAGAGATGACAACACTGATATTTAATGTTACTATAGCAGAGTTGTGCTATCAATGTATAGAATGTGCACTTCAGTGTATAGAAAATATAAAGATGGGAAGGTACCTGAAAAGTTATTAAGAAAGAACAACCAAGGAAGGGGGAATGTAGGAGAAACAAGAGTGTGATGTTTTAAAAATACAAAATTTGTCAAATACTGCAAATGGTTTATAAAAGATGAAGAATTAGACTGAATTAATTAAAGATTAAATTTAGCAATGGCGATTTAATAAACATTAGTAGAACTGTTTCTATGGTATAGTGGGGATAAACATTAGTTGCATAGGTTCAAGAGGAAATGAGAAGAATAAAAATGGAAAGAGGTAGTATATAATTCCTGGCAATTCAAAGGATGGTCCCTTAACCAGTAGAATCAAGATTTCACCTGGTATCTCATTAGAAATGCACTCCAGACCAACTGAAGGCAAATCCAATTTAACCAAGAGTCCCACATGATTCATATGTAAATAAAAATTTGTGAAGCATTGATCCAAATATCTCTTCTGAGTTGTATGAAGTACAGTGGTATGAAGTAGCAACTAGGGAGGTCTTAGAGGTTGTCAGGTCATATTTGTGAACAGATGGGATGCTTAACTAGAGAAAGAAAATTGATAATGAATGCAATAAAGGGGACAGATTCTAGATTAATGTCTATAGGTAAGGTAGAGTGACACATGGAATCCCGCCCACCGGTAAAGGGATTATCAGGTAAGAGACATCAATATAACAGGAGAAAAGACAAAAATAGATGGGCAAAGAATCAAGTTAACTGGTGGCATCCAGGCAGAGCCTGGAGATCTCTTTTTCTGATTGTTTCTGCTGTTTACTAAAATATGAAGCAAAGACAAAAATGAAGTCTAATGAAAGGGGTGGAAGTTTGAGCAAGGAAGAGACGTAATAAATGGTTGCTTAGCATATTGAGAGAAAAAAATGCACACATTAGAAAAACCTATCAAAATTTATGGGCAGTGTCTACGAACTCCTTGCAATTAGTGAATATATGAGACCAGGTAGCATGGTTCCATGTATATTTTACTGCAAACAAATTAATAAGTAGAGATAAATTTAACAGGTTTGTAATTTTGCAGGGGGTTACAACGCGAGGAGAGAGGAACAAGAAATTGAGAATGTGAAAAAGTGGTAGTAATGACACACCATATAATTTAATTGCACAAGAAGAGAAAGGCATCACAAGGAGGAAATAATGAAAGTATGGTAAAGGCTCAATAGTCTTTGTTGTTTGAGGGAATGAAAAACCAACAGAATTTGGAATCCTAGAAGGAACAAATTTGAAAAATGAGACAGGGTTATATTCTTGGAGTAGAATGCTTAAAAGTTTATCTAAATACAAAAAATACATAGTGTGGGTTTGCTATAAGAGTACAGTACATTTTTCATAGTAATAGTAAGTGTGGCATAAATAAGGAGCCATTTATTAAAAGATGTTCATGATAAAGAAACAATTCTCCAAGTGTAAGTTATTATCATTTTTATCTCAAAAAAGTCTCTATCTCTCTCTCATACACACACATGTACAAACATACAGACATAACCCAAATAATTTGAAGTAAAATATTTAAGCAGCAACGCTATTAAAATTATCTAAGTAATTTTTATTTTAGTAGAAATCATAATGGGGCTTCTATAAAACAAACTAGCTCTGCTATCCTAACAATGTGCATATATCCATAAAAAAATCACAATGAATAAAAGATTATTTTAGACCATTATGTTTTATTACAATTTCAGTAAATTCTTTTGGTCAGTCCTCTGATGAAGTGTCAAAAATTTCCGAAGCAATTCTGTGTAAAATAACGCACTGCAGTTAGTTGAGTATTTTATTCACTCAAGTTCGTTTTAGTCTACTTTCCTGTAAGAATGAAGCTATTATACTCTTAGGATAGGCAACACAAAGACATCACCAAGTAGGATGATAATTTGCCTTTCATTTCTATGGGGAGAGAAAGAAATGGTTGCTAGGAGCTCTGTTCAAGAACTTGAAAAGTGACAGAAGAAATAAATACAAGAAAATTGAAGAAAGACAGCTAACTTGTTTACCTATGTTTGATTACATTTTTAAGAGTTTGCCAAGACAAAGAATTGCTCCAAAATAAGAAAGAACATTTAATGAAAATACTCAGTTATTCATCCATGGTAAAAGTAATTATGTAAAAAGTTGCTAGTTTGGCATTTCAGATAAACAAAATAATTATTTTAAGTTATTCATTGTAAAGCTGTAGTAGTATTCATTGTAGTAGTATTCATTGTAAAGTTGTAGTAAAATTGCAATCTAAACATGTACAAAAATTCACACAAATAAATTTATAGTGGTCAAAAATACCAATAACAAAATATAATTTATCAAAAAAAATCAGAGAATTAACCTCCAAAAACACATTGAGCCTAATTTACCTTAACAAATACCATTTAAGTAAAGTTATTATCTTGTTATTAATTCAGTTTTGGCCATGCAGGATATGAAAGTTTAGCAGTTAAAAGTACTGACTTTGCTAAGTTTCTAATGTGTGACTCTCACCACTCAGCTCTTCCACTTAAATTACTAGGATTGAGCACACAACCTATTGCAAGGAGATTAAAACCCAATATATTCCTCCATTGTATGGATCTGCAATTTTTTTTCTCTAAAGAAGCAGATAGTAATTATTTTGGGCTTTGTGGGCCATCAGGTCTCTTGGATTATTCAACTCTGCTCTTGTAGTATGAAAGCAAAGATTACACATAAATGCATAAGAATGATTGTTATATTGCTTTTCATCTATGTCTTTAATAAACCACACAGTGCTTTAAGCCCTTTATATGTAATAATGCAGCAACTTTTATAAAGTAGATATTGTCGTTATGCCTATTATAAGCAAGGTGACTGAGGCACAAGGAGGATAGTCTAGAAACATTCCATCTCTACATTATTCGTCAGAAACTTCGAGGAATGGCTGCCAGAAGCCCAAAATGCAATACTGGATTTAAGAAAGTACCTAAAAACATGTAAATCATGCATAGAATACCAACAACAAAAAGCACATGGGGAGCAAATAGATATGGCCCCTAAAATAAATCCATTCACATCTCTTAATTTGAAGAAGCAGGAGACTGAAATAAAGAGGGCTCCCAGAGCACTGAATTATGATATGAGAATGGTGTGGTAGAATTCAAAACAGACTGTGAGGTATAATTTTTGGAAAAATATGCATATGTTACATATCCTGTTGTGCAATTTTAGGTTAGGCTACATGGGACTACGTTGTACATACCAGCCTAAGTTCCTATTTAATAAATTCAAGTATTCCTAGTAGAAAAACTACATTTCCAGTTAGAAAAGTAATTTTGAGCAACACAATCAAAATGATGTAAACAAAAAGTAATACAGAGAAGACCTGTCAAATGGTATTTCTGGTTCTAGATCCTTGAGGAATTGCCATATTGTCTTCCACAATGGTTGAACTAATTTACATTTCCAATAACACTGTAAAAGCATTCCTATTATTCTGCTATAAGGACACATGCACACATATGTTTATTTCAGCACTATTTACAATAGCAAAGACATGGAACCAAACCAAATGCCCATCAATGATAGGCTGGATAAAGAAAATGTGGTACATAAACACCATGAAATATTATGCAGCCATAAAAAGGAATGAGATCATGTCCTTTGTCCTTTGCAGGGACATAGATGAAGCTGAAAGCCATCATCCTTAGCAAACTAACACAGGAGCAGGAAACCAAACACCACATGTTTTCACTTATAAGTGGGAGTTGAACATTGAGAACACATGGAAACAGAGACCTGTTGGGGGTTGGTAGGTGAGGGGAGGGAACGTAGAGGATGGGTCAATAGGTGCAGCAAACCATCATGACAAACGTATACCTGTGTAACAAACCTTCACGTTCTGCACATGTATCCCATTTTTTTAGAAGAAATAAAGAGAAAAAATCTGTCATGAATACTAAAAGTATGGTCTCAAGCCACAATAAGCGAACCTCCAATTGTGGTTGGACAGTGAAGCCTCTCTACATCTAATTTTATTTTCATGTTTCATCAAAGCCTTAAAGCTTTGATCAGGGGCTTGCCTAATCTCTGGCTGAAAGCACCTCAACCCCTAATACCATGCAGATTTAGTCATTTCTCTGGGAGAATGAGAAAATAAACCAGGTATATGAAGAGTTAATATTCAAAAGAAAAGTTGAAAAATAAGGCAGTCATTTTTTTTTCAGGAGCAGAGCTATTGGAAGGTGAATAAAATATAAATGTATAACTTACGGATGTATAAACCCAAACACGAGGCTTTAAAAAACAAATAAAGCAATCAGTCCTTTAGTAGTTCTTATTTAAAAAGTGAGAGAACATATCTACACCTCATTAAGAATATTAAAATAGAAATTTTATAATTTGATTATATGTGTTTTAAAAGACTGAAAATACAAGAGAATGATTAACAATTCTGTTCTAGTAGAATTGCAATCTAAACATGTACAAAAATTCACACAAATAAATTTATAGTGGTTGAAAACACCAATAACAAAATATAATTTATCAAAAAAAAATCAGAGAATTAACCTCCAAAAACACATTGAGCCTAAATTTTGATTCTTTAAAACCTGTGTAATCTGTACAATTTTGTTCATTATGTTCTAGAACAGCTCCATTCAAGAGAAACAGAATATTTCACATGCGATTTTAAATTTTCTAGTCATCACATTTTAAAAAATAAAGCAAGTAATATTCATTTTAATAATATGTAATGTACCTCAATATATCCAAAATAAAATTATCATAACACATTATCAATATAAAACATTATTAACATTATATTTTAAATTTTGTTTATACTAAGTTTTTGAAAACCAAAGTGGTAAAGTGCATACAGGCATATCCTGGAGCTATTGCAGGTAGGTTTCCAGATCACTACAATAAAGTCAATATCAATCTGAAGCAAGTCACACAAATGTTTTGGCTTCCCAATGCATATGAAAGTTATGTTTACACTATATTATAATCTATTAAGTGTGCAATAACTTCATATCTGAGGAAAACAATGTACATGCCTTAATTTGCAAATACTCTATTGCCAGAAAATGCTAACAATCATCCATGCTTTCAGCAAATCCTAATATTTTTGCTGATGGAATTCTTTCCTCAATGTTCATGGTCACTGATGGATCAGGGTGGTGGTTGCTAAAGATTGGAGAAGCTGTGATAATTTCTTAAAATAAGACAACAAGCTTTCATTTCATGAAATATTTCTCTGTAGCATGCAATGCCATTTGAGAGCATTTTGCCCACAATAGAACTTTTTTCAGAATTAAAGTTGGTCCTCGCAAACCCTGCACTTGGTTTTACCAACCAAATTTATGTAATATTCTAAATCTTTTGTTGTAACTTCAACAATGTTCACAGCATCCTCACCAGGAGTAGATTATATTTGAAGAAACCACTTTCTTTGCTCATTCGTAAGAAACAATCTTCATCCATTAAAGTTGTATCACGAAATGGCAGCAATTCATTCACCTCTTTAGGCTCCACTTTTCATTCTAGTGTTCTTGCTATTTCCACTACATTTGCAGTTGCTTCTTCTACTGTTGTTTTAAACCACTCAAAGTCACCCATGAAGGTTGGAATTACTACCTCCAAATTCCTGTTATTGTTGACATTTTGATCTCCTCTAATGAATCACAAATATTCTTAATGGCATCTAGAATGGTGAATTCTTTCCAGAAAGCTTTCAATTGACTTTGCTTAGATCCATCAGAGGAATCACTGTCTATGGAAGCTATAGCCTTACAAAAAGCATTTCTTAAATAAAAAGACTTGAAAGTAAAAATATTCTTTTATTGGTGGGCTACAAAAGGGATGCCATGTTAGCAGTTATGAAAACAATATTTATCTCCTTGTATAACTCCATCAGATCTCTTGGGTGATCAGTTGCATTGTCACTGAGCAGTAATATCTTGAAAGGAATATTTTTTTTTTCCTGAGCAGCAGGTCACAATGGTGGGCTTAAAATATTCACTAAACTATGCTGTAAACAGGTGTGTGGTCATTCAGACTTTGTTCATCCATTTCTAGAGGGCAGGCAGAGTAAATTTAGCATCTTTCTTAAGGAACCTAGGATTTTTGGAATGGAAGATGAGCATTGGCTTCAACTAAAATTCACCAGCTGCATTAACCCCTAGCAAGAGAAGCAGTCTGTTCTTTGAAGGTTTAAAGTCAGCATTGACTTTTCCTCTCTAGCTGTGAAAGTCCTAGGTGGCACTATCTTCTGATACTAGGCTGTTTTTTTTTCACATTGAAAATATGTTGTTTGGTATAACAACCTTCATCAATAATCTTAGCTAGATCAGGAATTCCTGCTTCACATTGCACTATTATGTTATGGAAGTAGCTTTTTTCCATAAATTTCATGAGTCTATCTCTGCTAGATTCAAACTTTTCTTCTATACCTTCCTCACCTCTCTCAGCCTTTATAGATTGAAGAGAGCTAGAGTCTTGCTCTGGATTAGGTTTTGGCTTGAGGAAATGTTGTGGCTGGTTTGGTCTTCTATTCAGACCACTAACATTTTCTTCATATCAACAATAAGGCTCTTTAGGTTTCTTAACTTTCATGTACTTACTATAGTAGCACTCTTAATTTCCTTCAAGAATTGTTCCTTTGCATTCACAACTTGGCTAACTGTTAGGAGCACAAGGCCTAGCTTCTGGGCTATCTGAGCTTTCCACATGATTTCCTCATTAAGCTTCTTTCTACAAACATACATGTCTCATTTGAATTGAGAGATGTGTGACTTTTCCTTTCACTGAAACACTTAGAGGCCATTGTAGGGCTATTAATTGGTCTAATTTCAATATTGTTGTGTTTCAGGGACTGTGGAGACATGAGAAGAGGGGGAGAGAAAGCAGAACGGTCAGTTGGAAGCAATCAGAACCACACGACATTTATCTACTAAGTTTTCCGTATTATATCGATGCAGTTGGTGGTGTTCCAAAGCAATTACAATAGTAACATCAAAGATCAATGATCACAGAGCCCCATGTAGATATAACAATAAAAAAGTTTGAAATATTGTGAGAATTACCAAAAGGTGACAGAGACACAAAGTGAGCACATGGTGTTAGAAAAACTGGTGCTGATAGATCGGCTTGACTCAGGATTGCCACAAACTTTCAATTTGTAGAAATTGAAGTATCTGTGAAGCACATTACAGCAAGGCACAAGAAAACAATGTATGTCTGTATTTTATGCTTATAGCATATTTAACTTTGAAATAACTAAATTTCAAGTGCTCAATAGCCACATGGCTTGTGGTTCTATACTGAGTAGCACATTTTTAGAGCATGGAAAATAAATAAAGCTTCCAATCTAATCTCAAGAAGTTATTGTAACTTGATACAAATACTTACAATGTACCATATTTAATTCTAGTCCCATGACTGACTAAAGTTGGAAGAATCTTAAAAGAAATATGAGCAATTACATTTTATTAGTATTGACATGTAGCAATAAACAGAACCAAATTGGATCCACTTTAATACTGAAAATTTTAGAAAATCTGTGAATATAGTAAGTTACATTCATACTCAATAGGAAAGAAATTTAATAAGAAAAATACACTTCACATAGAAAAAATGCAAATGCCCAATAAACATGCAAAGCTTTTATATCATCAATAAACATAAAATTAAACAAAAAAACTGCTGCTACCTAATTGCCAGAGTGGCTGAAATAAACATCTGTGACCCACAGAGTAATGTGTTCATATGAAGCAACAGGAAATATCCTACACATCTAACAGGAGGGTAAGTTGGAACAATCACTTTGGAAACAATGTGTTATCATTTAATAACATTTAACAAATACATAAATCAGGACCAAAAAGCCTCTCTCTATATAGAGAGACATATATATATATACATATATACACACATATGTATATATGTATGTTTATGTGTACATCCTACAAAGGAACAACAGACAAGTGCAAGAAAGCTTATGGTAGCATCATTCATAATAACTCCAAACTTAAAATTACCTAAATTCTGTCCATCATCATTATAACATATATATAATTTTGATATGTTCATTCAGTCAAAAAGCACATGACAATAGAAATAATTGCTAAAACTAAACACAACATGATCACACAAACATCCTATAAATAGAAAAAGGATAAAGAGAATAGAGAATATACTGCATAATCCTCACCCACATAAAAATTAAATGAGGGAAAACAAAACTAAAATTTAAAAATTCAGATTGGTTTTTATCGTTGGGGCATATTTACTGAGAAGGGGGAGGAGTAAATATCTGAGAACGCTGGCAACATTTTATTTCTTGATCTATGTCACATGTATGTGGGATTTTGCTTTGTGAGAATTTTGTATTCAAAATGTTAAATTATTCAATTTAAAAATACATGTAATTAAACCATGCATAAAATTAAAAGGCAGGTAATTTGTTAAAATGTAATGTGTGTGATGGGCAGATGTTCTTCAGTGTTTTTAGCTGTTTGCTTGTGTCACTGGGAGTCAAATGTTAGCCAATGTCAGAATCACAGGGTCAGCTTTTTAGAACAGATCCTGGGACCTAGCTTCCAAAACTTCTGATTCAGCGGGTCTACATTAGGTATCATAAATTGAGAATTTTTATTGCCATGTTCCCAGGTGATTCTGATGCTGCTGATACAGAACCACACATTATAAACCTCTGGCTTTTGCTATGCCCATTGAAATATACTTCCCTCCATCCTCACAGTCACCTAGCTAACCCACTTTTACATTCACCCTAGGCCCAACTCAAGCAAGGCCACATAATTAGGTTACCCTCTCCTCCCAAACCTACTATTATCTTCAGGGAGCCCGCTTCTATTCTTTCATAATATTTTCCTGAGAAATTTACTTAAGATATTTTATCTCTCTGTCTAGTCTTCTAATTGCCCTGCTATAAGTGACATTCTCTAGGGTTTACTTTATCCCTGAGAGTGTTTATTTAATTATATTTGTTGAATAAATAAATCCCATCCATTGACTTTTCAATTCCTTTCAGTTGTCAATTTCTCTTTTAGGTTCCTATGTGTCTTGCCTTTAGCCCCCTATTTCAAAGTCTAACTTTAATCCTAGCTTTCTTGGGAACACCTTCCTTCCAGGTTTCTAAGGTGTAATGAATTTAACGTGAAATTTGTGTCCTGGCAGCCTCCTTCATCATTAACTCAGCCAAAGACTGCCAACATTTTTCTATACATTCGAAGTTTTACTTGCTTCTTTCTTGGTAGGGTGCACTGTCCTTCTTACTAAGTTGCCAGAAGATTAACAATCCATAATCTCCCTTTCATTATGTTCCCTAGCAATTTTATTTCTATTTTTTTCTTTCTTTTCCTCATATAACCTTGCTCTTAAGATTTTTCTGATGGTCTGTGAATTATCTTATTATTTTCTTTAGTCTTACTCTCCACAAAAATACTTTATGGAAAATGAATATTTATCCTATGTCCTTCACTTTGTGGCTTTGGAAATAATGCTTCCTTTGTTACTTCCTTTCTCTCTTCCTTTCACGGCCATTGAAACCTATTTTTAATACACAGTATTAAATAAATGCATTCATCCTCTTGTGCTTGAAAATATATTACAGATTTTCCATGTTTAATGAAAGGCATCTGTTTTATATTACATCAAATCTAACTCATTTTACCAATCAGTACACAATTATATTTTTAAGAAGTGAGGTTTTGAGAGTAGGTATCCTAAGTTTATAAATGCTTTGGTATTTTGCTGCTACCTCAGAAATATTTAAATATTCTGGTATCCAGATGATGTGTGTTACATTAACTGAGGCATGTACCGGTTAATGGATCTCTCACCTCTGTCTGAAGATGGAAGAAATAGTATGCCTTCAATAACCCTCAAACCTAGAAGCTATTATTAATAAAAAGCAGGGAGATTTTCTCTGCATTCCAACCTCAAGTGCATATGAACTATTACTCTATATTTTCTGCCCAAATGAAATTTACTCCGGGAAGGCAAATAATAAATGAAGCTAGAGATTGTTTTTCTTGTTTGGTGTCTCTGTGTCTAAGGGTGTTATTGCAGACATTTATAATGAATAAAAATTGAATGGCTAATATAATTATATGTGCAATTCAGTACCAAAGCGCTCCTTTGACCAACTATCTTGGTCAGCTGAAAAGCCTTTAGCTGTATAAATGTATATTTGATTACAAAGGTAATGTTGAATATTGTGGTTAGTTATTCTTTCAACAGGGAAGGAAAATATTATTTTTGTATATGAATAATGATGGTAAAGGGTACATTAAAATACTTGAATTACAAACTAATCTGTCTCTAGATGTGTTCTCCATGATCATGAAGAGAATTAATATAGTCAATTTTAAATAGATATAGTAAACGTGCAAAACAAGTAAAATTTGGAAATGTGTTTTCTGGTTCAAGACTGTGGCTTCCATATACACTTGTTTTCTTTATGTTTTTAGAGCATATTAAAATGGTACCATTAAATTACTCACATATTGAGGAAAGCTAAAGAATCAATAGACTCAGATTGCAAAGAGGCTGAGTAGGTAATTTAATTGTTTTTGCTTTTCATAATTGTTGGGGAGGCTATCTTGCTTTATAAAACAAGATTAACTTCAATAATATCTATGTGTTTTAGAGGTGAAAACAATGTCTAAAGCATTTATGTTAAACTTGGTTGGATTTGACTTCTTCTTATGAGGTTATCCTTCCATTAGAAATTTAAACAGTGAGCAGAGGCTAAGAATCCTTTTATTACTCATAAAATTTTGGCTTTGATGGACAAGTGTTTATAGTTCATGGCGAGGGACCAGTCTTTTAAAGCATTTTCATCTTTGCCAAAGTCTCTTCCTGGATTTAACTGGTCATCTCAGCAGGTATTGGAGCACTTTATGGCTTTATGATGACGAATTTTTTCTCTCTAGAAGTGATGGCAGAAATTTTAGGTGTTTTTCAGCTGTATTTATCCACCAAACTCAAGTGCATGTAACCAAACTGAAGACTACAGAACAAAGACTTCTTAATAAGTCAAACAGAAGAATTCCATTTTAAGTTTTAGAAAGAGGGTCTCACTCTGTCCCATAAGCTAGAGTGTAGTGGCACAATCATAGCCCACTGCAGCCTCAAACTCCTGGGCTAAGTGATCCCACAGCCTCATCCTCAAAAGTATCTAAGACTAGAGGTGTATGCCACCTCACCCAGCTGATTTTTATTTTTGTATTTTTTGGAGGTGGGTTCTTGCTACGTTGCTTAGGCTGGTTTCAAACTTACGGCCTCAAGGGATCCTACCTTGGCCTCCTAAAGTGATGAGATTACTTAAGGCATAAGCCACTACAGATAGCCAAAATTCTATTTTATTATTATTAACTTTTCATTTCCTGTGCTGAAACAAATTGCTCTCCACCTGTTGTTGGCTACTAAATAAAATACAGGGGTAACCTTGCATTTAGTGGCTCTGATGTATGGATATACATAAATAAATATATTTTATTATTATCTTTAATGTCTAAAAAAACACTGAATGAATGAGATTGTCCCACTTTGGATAAGAGGCAATGTGGTAAAATGTCTGCTAGACCTAAGCAGATTAATTTTCTGATCCTATATTCTTTGGAGCATGTTTTCCTAAATAAAGTTGCCTGCTGAATCACCTCCACTTTTTAAATTGCCCTGTTCTTTTTGTCTATCAAAGCTGATTTTATAAAAGCTAATTAGGAAGAACAGAGATAATATGATGAATAAATCGTAGGGTTGTGAGACTTTTCTTTTACTATATACCCTTCTACACTATTTTCCTTTTTAATCATAGGCAAGGAATTTACAATACATATTGTAATGTAAAAATTTTGTTTTAGGAGTTTCAACAGATGTTAATAAGTTATAAACCTTAATTTAGTAATTTACATGACTAAATATGTAACATCTAAAAATGAATCTTTTGTTTACATACATGGAAATGTTGTGGCTTGATTTAAACTTTATGGATTTTTAATTATTAGAAGTTCTTAATATTAATGTAGTTAAATACATAAATATTTTCTTTTAGGTTTAATTTTGGAATGTGTGTGTTGTATATCTGTATGTTTTTAAGGAAATATTTCCCATAGCGAAGCCATAGTCTTCTCTATTATAACCTTAAATAAAATTTGTAAAGTTTAGCCCCCTGAAGCTTTTTCTTTAAATGGTGTAGGGTAACCCTTACTCTAGTTCCACCTTCATAAGTAGTCTTGATATCTGCCAGGGGATTTCACTTCACTTTTTCTTCAGGAGCATCATAGTTATTCTTTGGCCTTCCATTCAAATTTTGTAATCATTTTAGCACATTTCTTGGAAAATTCTTTTGGAATATTAATTAAAATTATAGATCAAGTTGAAAATTAATTGAGATGATGAAGAGTCTCCTTGTGCATGAATATGCTATTTCCCTCAATGCATTTACACGTTTAAATTTTTCAAAATACAGATATGCATTGACTATCTCATGTTAGATTTGTTTCATAGTTAATATGTATTTTTGGTTAATATTATAAAATATTTCTCTTTAAATTGTGTTTTCAATAGCCTATTAATGTAATTATAAACACATATTTTAAAAATAAATATGTACATAAAAAATAGAATTATTTTTTTCATTACAGGGGTAGAATAAGAATTACTTCGAAGATAGGCAGCATATTTGAGTCAACATAAAATATGCTCTCATCAATTGCAGACATGCAACAGTAAAAGGGGCACCATTATGGTGTAGAAGTACCCCACTGAATGCTGAATTATATCATTCAGTATTAACTCACCATCTGTAATAAAAATTGCAAAAGAAATTCATACAGATTTGAAATAATCAAAATAGTATAAAATGCAATATATGATTTATTATATTCAGGATATAATTCATGACATACTAAGGAGAGAAAGCAGGAGATTCAAAATTATATATTTAGGATGCTTCCACATATAGATGATATCAAGAACATGATATATAATTACAAAAGTATACATGATACATTCTATGGTATGAAAGTACAAATAAAGAAAATTTCATTTTATTAGTAATAAAATGTAAATTTAAAATATTAACACGTTATACATAATAAGTGAAATTTGATGTTCAACTTAGCAAATATTTTTTTAATTTTTGGAATGATATCAACTACTGCTGGTGAGAGTGATGTACAATGGCCTCTTTTATACAGCAATAATGGAATTACAAACTTGCTCATCAATTCTCAAAGGGAATTTCTTAGTATGCTTATGTTCATTATTTTGAACATTGACCCAGTTATTCTATGTCTGAAAATTTATTCTAAAATACAAATATATACTCAAAGATCTAGATTTATATGACAGTATTTTTTAATAAAAGCAATGTTAAAAAGTGAATATATACATAGAATGGTTAAATAAATACATTGAAATGATAAAAGGCTAAGTAGTCATTAAATTTCATAATAATTACATCAAACACTTGTATTGCGCTAATTATGTGCCAATCATTGCTATTCATTTTTACGTATATTAACTCATTTAAATATCACATATTTTTCTATGAAATAGTCACTGTCATTAAACTCATTTTTTTTTTTAGCAATATTGAGGTTAAGTAACTATCCAAGCTGGAATTGTATGCCAAATCTATGCTGTTTTTTGATTCTCCTTCTTCTCAAGCCATTAACAGACAAGATAATGGACTGACCACTTCGACGCATAAAATTCTCCTTCCCTTAAACTCCACCCATGCCCTCAGGTCTTCAATAAAATAATACAAAATATAGATAATCTTACATCATATTGGGAACTGAAAATCACTGAGGAATTTTTTTTAAATATAATGTAAGTTGGATCAAATTGCAGTAAAACTATCAAAAACTGTCAAATGCATCAAAGAAACACTGTGCTTCATTGCTAATAAATCCCCCACATGAGGCACCAATATGAAATTGTGGCCTATAAATAAAAGATGTTCTGAGCCGGGCGTGGTGGCTCATGCCTATAATCCTGGCACTTTGGGAGGCCGAGGCAGGCAGATCACCTGAGGTCGGGAGTTCGAGACCAGCCTGACAAACATGGAGAAACACTCTCTACTAAAAATACAAAATTAGCCGGGCATGGTGGCACATGCCTGAAATCCCAGCTACTCGGGAGGCTGAGGCAGAAGAATTGCTTGAACCCAGGAGGCGGGGGTTGTAGTGAGTGGAGATGCACCATTACACTACTGCCTGGGCAACAAGAGCAAAATCATCTCAAAAAAAAAAAAAATGTTCTGGCACAACACTTGTAGCAACAGTTAACTGGAAGAGAAATTACCAGGGGCCAGTGCATGGTGTGCAACTAGAAATATACTATGTGGAATCTCCCTTTAATAATCACTAATCCTCAAACGTATTATAAAGCCGCTTACTCTTCCAGCCTCTGGGATTCTTCCACTTGGATATAAAAAATTGAAACCAAAACAAAACAAAACAGTGAGGCAGAGTTATTCAATTCATTTTCCAGCAGGCAAAGAAATGAAGCTAAATACTAACAGCTTCATTTCTTATAGCCTTATAGCTAAAGAGAAAGCTAAATACTAATATCTGAGCCCTACCATAGTGGCTTCATTGTCCGTATACAGTAGTATCAAGCACACTCTAATATCCTTACTTCATTGGTTCCAAACCCAATTTGCTAATTTATGTTGGTAACACCAACCCTCCAGATTACACACTATAAACAAAGTGATATTGGGACTTGACTATACAATAAAACAAGCAAAAGAGAATAAAATGTATTATCTATGGAGAAACATTGAGAATGATTTTTTTTTTCTTATTTATGATGAGTTTCCAAAAACAGATACACAAATAATTTCAGGCTAATGAAAATGTCTTGGAAAATAAATGAAGAAAATAACACTTGATAGAGAAGAGATACTTTTAATTATTGTAATGACAATAATAGTCAATGTTTTATAATAATACTTTTAGTAATACTTTTAGTTTACTACGCCAAGCAGTGTTCCAATACCTTTACATGGATAGCTGTTTTAATCCTCATAATAACCTATCAGATAGTAGCATTATTATTCCCATTACAGATTAGTGAAGCATAGGAAAGATGAGTAATTTGCTCAAATTCACACTGCTACAAATGATAAACTCTTGTGTCTGAACCAGGGGTTGAGAGGTAGAGCAAGATGGCAGAATAGAAGGCTCCATCAATCTTCCCCCCTCTTCAGGGACACAAAGTTAACAACTATCTACAAAGGAAAAACACGTCACAATAACCAAAATCAGGTGAGCACTCATAGTATCCTTTTTTAACTTCATATCACTGAAAGAAGCACTGAACTCAGTGCTGTTCTGTTAGAGCAGAAAGAAAAACCAGACCGAACACCGAACTCATCTGACACCTGCCCACAAATGGAGCATTTAAACAACCCTAGCCAGAGGTGAACCACTAATCCCAGCAGTCCTGACTTGAGTGCCCACAAACCTCACACTGAGGTCCAAAATGCCGGTCTCTGAGTAAACTTGAAAGGCATAAGGCATAAGTTTCTAGGCCATAGGGACTGCAACTCATAGGCAAGTCCTAGCACTGAACTAAGCTGATACAGTTGACTTGTGGGGAACGTGACATACAAAGACACCAGCTGGGGCAGCTAAGGGAATGCTGGCATTACCCCTCCCCTAGACCCAGGCTAACCCTAACCCTTTCCTTCTGCTTGAGCAGAGGAGAGAAAAGAGTGGGGAGGACTTTATCTTGCATCTTTGATCTTGATCAGCCACAGGATAGGACACTGGTCAGAGTCATGAGGCCCCTGTTCCAGGCCCTAGCTGCCAGATGGCATTTCTAGGCACATCCTGGGCCAGAAAGGAACCTGCTGACTTGCAGGAAAGGATCCAGTCCTGGCAGCATTCATTACCTGCTAACTGAAGAGCCCTTGCGTCCTGAAAAACCAGCAGTAATACCCAGGTGCTATGTGGAGGGCCTTGGGTGAGCCTCTGAGACTTGCTGTCCTCAGGTGAGATGCAGCACATTACCAACCTTGGTGGCCATGGGGGAAAAACATCCTTCTTGAGGAAAGCAGAGGAAAAAGAAGAGGGAACTTTGTCTTACACTTTAGATACGAGTACTGCCACAGTCAGGCAGAGCACCAAGTGGGCACTTAAGAATCTTCTACACTACTACTTTCAATTTGCCTTTTCTACCACCACTCCAGATTGTGGACAAGATCACTAACAACCATCTTACTTCAGAATCCGTTGTGAACTCTTTCACCATTTTTGTTAATTGACCTGTCAGCAAAGCAGCATTTAAAGTGTGGGTCATAACCTCCTTTTGAGAAACACCTTTTCCTTTACTCCTTAATATCACCATCCTGTATCTTGGGTTGGTACTTCTCAATGCCCTTTGTGTCAGTGTCTCTTTGTCACATACTTCACTTTCACTTTAATTGCTGGTATTCCTCCTTATTCTGTTCTGAAGATAGTTGTCTTCTATTCAGCTTTTTTCCTTTGGTGGATACTACCAGATCCCAGGAAGTCAACTAATATGTATATAATATTTATGACAATAAAATAAATAATATATTATTTGTAATTTACTATTCTCTCTTCTGGGGAGCTTTCCTTCTTTAAATATGTTGAAAACACTACATTATTTATCATAAATATTTGTTCATTATATATGACAGTAACATTATTAGGTGGAAATATTATGTGTTGGAAAAAATTGCTCAAATTATATTCATGATCACCGGCTGTTCTAAAATCAATTTTATTAGGTAATATCTGTGTCACATTATCTCTAAATTTCCGTAATTTTCATAATGAAAATGAAGAATAAAATCAAACTAAGTTTTAAAATGTGAGCTAGTAATTTTAGTTATAATGTTTATTTTAACATTAAACTCATGAATAAATAACAAAATTAAATGCAATTCATCATTCTTTGAACATTTCTGAATTTTTGAAGATCAAATATAAATCTTTCACAAGGCTTGTATTTGACAATGTTGAGCAACTATCTCTGGTGGGAGGTTGTTATTGTACATTTTAAAAATAATTTAGAATACCAAAAACAATTCCTCACTAGATTCCTTCTGGAAACCAAGAAAATATCCAATAATAATGGCATTCTCTAAACCCAGTTAATTAAAATCTTATGATCCATAAAAGTAAGATAAATATTACTCATATTTGTAGATAGAACATTAGAGGATTGTTGCTGTATTTTCAGAGTAAGGGTAAAGATTAATCTTTTCATAAGTCAGGATTGCAATAGCTGTTTTATAAATAGGGTTTTTGGAAGTTAATTATTTATATGAAACATAAAATTATTGTGTCAGATGCTTTTCTAGGGACTGGAGATAAAATAATGAACAAAACAGATAACCATATATCACCTCCTTGAACTTAAATTCTGGTGGGAGAACACAGAAAAATAAGTACATACATAGGTACATACGTACACACAAAACCTATGATTATGTAATAACCATTATAATTTATAATAATTTAGATGCAGACGAGTATTACGAAAAAAATGAAACAAAAGAGGGTGGGGTTGCTCAGGTATGGGTATAGGGTTCATTTTTAAATAATGTGGTAAGGAAATGCCTAACTTTGCAGAACAAGAAGGAGCCCAAGATGACTGTGAAAGAATGAGAGGAGTACAGACGTGGGAGAGTGGGAGACCAGGTCCAAAAGGAAAGGAGGTCAGACAATTTAGGTCCTTATAGGGCATTTTGAAGGCTCCTCTTCTTAGTGATATAAAAGCTTCTACACAGAAGGGGATTTAGCAAACTGACATGCTCTGACCCACATTTGAGCAGAATTGTTCTCCCTGCTGTTGGAGGTAAAAGGCAGAAGCTGACACTGACATGGCAGCAATGAAATGGGTGAGAAGTGGTCAGATTTTAAATGTATTTTGTAGGTAAGAGCAACAAACTTTTCTGAGGGATTAAGTAAGAATGTAAGAGAAAGGAGAAGTCAAGAAAAAAAAAGACTGCAAGGTTTTTGTTTGTTTTTTAACCTTGGCCAACTGGGAAGATAGACTGGTAATTAAGGGAGGAATGGGAGGGGGTGGATATCACGTGTTTGTTTTGTGCAATTAAGTTACAGTGTTGAATTTAAGATACATCAATATATAATAGGTACCATTAAGGAAACACATCAAGTGGGCAGTTAGATACAAAACTATGGAGTCCATAGGAAAAGTCTATTGAGCCTTTTCAGGTTATGGATTGTTTTTAAATATATAAAACTAGACAAGAATACAAAGGAAATGAAGATAGCAAAGACATGGAAGCCAATATGTAGTGTCCTGGAGTCCAAGTGAAGACGGTACTTTAAAGGGCAAGGAAGGATCAATTTTATGACAATCACTAGCTCTTCTAGAATGTCAGTCACTTCATCTGCAATTGGAGGCATTGGAACATGACCTGATGGACTCCATTCATTCCGGGTCTTAACATTTTGTGGGACTCACCAGGGTACATGATTTAAAAAAAACAGAATGCTTCAACAAGATTATATTTTCATGGTCATCTCTTTTCAGTGCTTTAAATTTGTGATTAAGAGAATGTTTGAGATTAATCATGGAAATAATTAAATCATGTCTAAACTCATTATATGAGAGATGAAAGTAATAACACCCAGCCAAGTTTAGTGGCTGTGAAACATTTAAAATTTGGGGTCAGCCTACAGACTCTTAGGGACAGATTTAGTACGTTATTCAGAAGGCAAAATAGAAATATTTCGGGAGTTGTTAATAATTTGATAGCTTTATAAGATTATTTGTTAATAAAAATGGTACTAGAATGAACCAAGTAATGACTTTAACATTTGAATATGCACTTACTTTTTATTTTACTTGATCACGATTTGGCTCTTTAATTAATTTCATTTACTTTTAATCTTTCTTTTGGCCCAGAGGAAAAATTAACAAGTTGAAATGCCATGTTTGGGTTTAATTTGAGAATGAGATTTGAAATATGAAATATACCTCTTCTTCAAATCACTTCTGTGGCTTAAAGAATGACAAAGACCTCTATTTCCTACCACATCAGTCACAGCTCTTCCTAAGCATCACACTTTCAACAGAAATACAGCTGACCTCATAATCATCCCAGATAAACCATTTTTTATTTTCCCTGATCTTCAGTGAACATTTTAAAAAGGCAGAGTGATTGGAGAGCAATGTGGAGGAGTGAATAGTGCAGCATAGTGCTGAGAGCCCTCAAGAACTAAGCTTTGCTAAGAATGTGGACCTTGTTGAAGACGTAAGTCATTATCCAGAGATGAAGAGAAGCACCAAGTATTGTGACATAAAATTTTGCAGAAGGAAGAGGCAATATTAAAACAACAACAACAGGTTATATCAGGGACATTTTCCTAGGTTTGCATAATTTTTTTTTTTTTTTTGAGACGGAGTCTCGCTCTGTTGCCCAGGCTGGAGTGCAGTGGTGCAATCTCGGCTCACTGCAAGCTCTGCCTCCCACGTTCACGCCATTCTCCTGCCTCAGCCTCCCGAGTAGCTGGGACTACAGGCGCCCGCCACCACGCCCAGCTAAATTTTTGTATTTTTAGCAGAGACGGGGTTTCACCATGTTAGCCAGGACGGTTTCGATCTCCTCACCTTGTGATCGGCCCGCCTTGGCCTCCAAAGTGTTGAGATTACAGGCATGAGCCACCGCGCCCGGCCACAAAAATTTTTAAATAAGGAAAATTTTAAAATTGTCACTTCAACTTAAATGTTTCATCTATGAGAGGCTGCATAGCGCCTAAAATCTCTCATCATACTTCTTCTCCTGAAAGATGCATTTAATGCTAGAAACATTGACATATGCTACTCTTTATATCTAAAATGTTCCCTTAATATGAAAATGTATTAATATTTTAAGGCTTAATTTATACTGCTACTTCTCTGTGAAGACCTGTTTGTCTCATTTCAATTAAATATCTCTTTCTTTTCGTACCTTTATTATCTAATTATCTCTACTATTCCTAGTATTCTTAATATTTATTATACATAGGCTCTTGGGGACAGAAGGACTAGTATTCTGCATAGCTTGTATTTTGCATTATTACTGGGTTAGTATATTAAATAATTAATAGATGAGTAAATTAATATCACACATCTAAAGTCACCAGATTTTATGTTAAATAAGATATTTTCTATCTGATTTAAGAAAAAAAATTGAAAGACAAATTACTGTACCTATTGGGTTTCATTAATTGGTTACAGAGTTATAAAATAACCTCAAAAAACAACATGTTTAAAATGTTACCTATATAATTAAATGTTGACCTTGTGGGACAGTAGATGAAAGTATCAATGTAATATTAATTATTTATGATGATAAAGCCTTTATGAGACTTAAAGGAATTTCTGTAAGTCAAAGATTATAACAGTTCACATGTTATGATTTGCTATTTAGTAGTTCTATTTTCACAAATTTTCTAATAAAATTTTGTTTTATATATATGAATACAAATACATATTATTTAACAATAGATGTCTTTTTATGGGCTGATTATCACAAAAACTTAAAAGGAAATGATTATGTAAGCATGTTTACAGTCTCTTATGGAATTACTAAGTAAAAAGAGAGAGATTAAATTGTTAACTTTAAAGTTAACAATTTTAACTGGGTGAAGGGCCCATGGAATCCTCCTTTATTATTTTCTACAAGTGCATGTGAATCTACAATTATCTCTAAATGAAAAAAACCTTAATAGAAATATTTTCACACTTACTAAGGACTGAATTGTGTCCTTGTCAAAATTCATTTGGTGAAGTCCCAGCCCCCACCCCAATAATTCAGAAAGTAACTGTATTTTTACATAGGGCCTTTAATGATATAATTAAGGTAAATGAGGACATGTGGGTGGGCCCTAATCCAATATGATTAGTGTCCTTATAAGTAAAGGAGATTAGGACATAGAGGCACAGAGGGAAGACCATGTGAGGACACAAGATGGCCATTTAAAAGCCGAAAACAGAGAGGCCTATGAAGAAACAACCCTGCTGACACTTTAATCTCTAACTTCTAGTCTCCGGAAATGTGAAAATATTAAATTTTAGTTTTTAAGCCATCCAGTACATGGCCCTTTTTTTTACGATTGTCCTAACAAATCAATATAACACTAAACAGAGCATTTTATTTTAAAATACATATAACCAAAAGTAGAAGAAAAGTCTAATAGCAAAGAAAACTATCAATGTAATTGGCCATATTAGCAGATGGAATGAGACAAAATCATGGCTCATCTTTTTGGATGCTGGAATAAATATTTAATAAAATTCCACATACTTTTGAAGATTAAATGCCAGAGCATTTGGAATGAAAGGGAAATCTCTAAATCTGACAATGGCTACTTACTAACAACCAACAACAGACATTATTTTTTTCATCATTTTTAAGGGTGAAACATTACAAATGTTTTATTTGAAAATGAGAAGCAAGAGAAGGTAGACTGCAATCAGCACATCTATTCAAAGCCATATGAAAGGACTCGGCCAGAGCAATGTGACAAGAAGAAAAAAGAAGAAAAAAAAATGATGTTTTGATTGTCTATTCAGTGCTTCCCAGCATTTTTCATTTCAGGGGAAACACAGAAATTGCTAAAGGAACCAGATCAATATCTTCCCTCACTTGTAAACCATTTGTGACACAGCAGTATTCTGCTGCAAATGGTTGAGAACCCTGTTCTATATTGTAAATCAACATAGTGACAATCTTTCAGAAAAAGTATTCATCTAGATTGCTGAGAAAATATCAATATACAAAATAGATAAATGTCCTATATACCTTCAATAAATAATTAGAAAAGATGTTCAAGATATGTATGAAGATAATTATAAATCTTTCTTGAAATAAAAAATATCTGAATAGATATAAAGAATGGTTGAAATTTTAATATTTTATTTAAAGAAACCATTCTCCCAAAAATAATTTACAAATTCAGGAAATTTCTAATCAAAACTTACAACTTAATACACAAAAACGGAGTCAAGAATGGCCAAGACAATTCTGTAGCAAGCATAAAGGGAAAGCAGGTTTTAACAGGTATGTAAAGTAAAAATTAGAAATCTACAGTAAGTAATAAAGTATAGTATTTTGGTGTAAGCTGGCTGATTGGTAGCAGAATAGAAAGTCTGTATATAAAAGGAAAACTTAATTTATTATGTTTCTCTTTTTCTTTATACTACAGAAAATGTTGCAGATGATTCCACTGAATTTATGCAACTCTGCTGTTTTACTAAAATGGCTCATAATGTGAAATTTATTTCAAAATAATAAAGCAATATCCTAACAACTGCAGTTATGGGTGTGCTCAGTGTCAAAAATTAATTACAGGATTAAAGAGAGAAAAACATATATTAGTGTTTTTTAATGGTAACATGAGATTAAAAGCTGTTTTCTATTAGGATACTTGCAAATTCATGCATGAACATTAACTCTTAGATGATAGTTGAAATATAGAAAGAAAAAGGGAATTTTGGGATTTCTTCAGTATGCAGTTTTTTCATGGAAATCAGTTTCTTTCATTGTTATCGCCACAATTATAATGGGAAATTGAGAAAATAAAGATACTAATTTAGATTGGTTACCATATGATATTTAAGTACAGAACTTACTTTACCCACATAATAACATATGGACATGTTAATATAACTTAAAATTTTAAAGAGTACTTCATGTATGCTTCTTTAAGAACTGTATAGAAGAATCTTCTTTAAGAAACTTGGCATCCAAAACTGTTACAAAAATATTTTCAAGTGGGGAAGATTCATTTTTATTCCTATTATAATGGCTTAGAGATTTTGATATCTCCTTTATGCAAACGTTTGATAAAACAGTCTCTGGCATTATGCTTTTTGTCACTTTCAAACACCTCCAAATTTAAACATTCATATTTTGGGTTTTATTTCAGTTTTTCTTTTTTTCAATTATACTTTAAGTTCTAGGGTACATATGCACAACGTGCAGGTTTGTTACATATGTAAACATGTGCCATGTTGGTGTGCTGCACCCATTAACTCATCATTTACATTAGGTATATCTCCTAATGCTATCCCTCTCCCCTCCCCCCACCCCACGACAGGCCTCAGTGTGTGATGTTCCCTGCCCTGTGTCCAAGTGTTCTTATTGTTCAATTCCCACCTACGAGTGAGAACATGTAGTGTTTGGTTTTTTGTCTTTGCAATAGTTTGCTGAGAATGATGGTTTCCAGCTTCATCCATGTCCCTACAAAGGACATGAACTCATCCTTTCTTATGGCTGCATAGTATTCCATGGTGTATATGTGCCACATTTTCTTAATCCAGTCTATCATTGATGGACATTTGGGTTGGTTCCAAGTCTTTGCTATTGTGAATAGTGCTGCAATAAACATACGTGTGCATGTGTCTTTATAGCAGCATGATTTATAATCCTTTGGGTATATACCCAGTAACGGGATGGCTGGGTCAAATGGTATTTCTAATTCTAGATCCTTGAGGAATCGCCATACTGTCTTCTACAATGGTTGAACTAGTTTACAGTCCCACCAACAGTGTAAAAGTGTTCCTATTTCTCCACATCCTCTCTAGCACCTGTTGTTTCCTGACTTTTTAATGATCGCCATTCTAACTGGTGTGAGATGCTATCTCATTGTGGTTTTGATTTGCATTTCTCTGATGGCCAGTGATGATGAGCATTTTTTTCATGTGTCTGTTGGCTGCATAAATGTTTTCTTTTGAGAAGTGTCTGTTCATATCCTTTGCCCACTTTTTGATGGGGTTGTTTTTTTCTTGTAAGTTTGTTTCAGTTCTTTGTAGATTCTGGATATTAGCCCTTTGTCAGATGAGTAGATTGCAAAAATTTTCTCCCATTTTCTAGGTTGCCTGTTCACTCTGATGGTAGTTTCTTTTGCTGTGCAGAAGCTCTTTAGTTTAATTAGATCCCATTTGTCAATTTTGGCTTTTGTTACCATTGCTTTTGGTGATTTAGACATGAAGTCCTTGTCCATGCCTATGTCCTGAATGGTACTGCCTAGGTTTTCTTCTAGGGTTTTTATGGTTTTAGGTCTAACATTTAAGTCTTTAATCCATCTTGAATTAATTTTTGTATAAGGTGTAAGGAAGGGATCCAGTTTCAGCTTTCCACATATGGCTAGCCAGTTTTCCCTGCACCATTTATTAAATAGGGAATCATTTTCCCATTTCTTGTTTTTGTCAGGTTTGTCAAATTCAGATGGTTGTAGATGTGTGGTATTATTTCTGAGGGCTGTGTTCTGTTCCATTGGTCTATATCTCTGTTTTGGTAACAGTACCAAGCTGTTTTGGTTACTGTAGCCTTGCAGTATAGTCAGGTAGAGTGATATCTCCAGCTTTGTTCTTTTGGCTTAGGATTGACTTGGCAATGCAGGCTCTTTTTTGGTTCCATATGAACTTTAAAGTAGTTTTTTTCCAATTCTGTGGAGAAACTCATTGGTAGCTTGATGGGGATGGTATTGAGTCTTTAAATTACCTTGGGCAGCATGGCCATTTTTCATGATATTGATTCGTCCTATCCATGAGCATGGAATGTTCTTCCATTTGTTTGTGTCCTCTTTTATTTCGTTGAGCACTGGTTTGTAGTTCTCCTTGAAGAGGTCCTCCACATCCCTTGTAAGTTGGATTCCTAGGTATTTTATTCTCTTTGAAGCAATTGTGAATGGGAGTTCACTCATGATTTGGCTCTCTGTTTTTCTGTTATTGGTGTATAAGAATGCTTATGACTTTTGCACATTGATTTTGTATCCTGAGACTTTGCTGAAGTTGCTTATCAGGTTAAGGACATTTGCTCTTATGTGTGTCCTCACAATTTCAACCCCAATCATGCCCAGTTCTCATTCCTGTATTTCAATTTAATTAAACTCAACAAACATTCATAGACATAAAACTATAACATGAAAAGTACTGTAATGGATCTATCTTTAAACAGCAGCTGATAAAAGACAAATGAGTGAACAGTTCATAATGGCCAGATGAAACCAAAGATAAAAGGTGACAGTGGAGGGCAAATAAGTGCTTGTCAAGCAGACTAGGAGGAGGAGGTGTTTCAGACAAATAAAACAGCATTGGAAAGGTTAAACAGCTGTTTTAGTGCATAGAGTTTTCAGAGAAAAAATTAAGTGATTCAAAAAGGATAAATCACATAATTGTGAAAGTCAATGGAACAAATGGATAAATACAGATGAGCTTAAAATAAAGGTGAAGTTAAAGTTGCAGTGGCTTTTTAAGCAATTGTTCAAGCATGCATTTTACTCTATACCAGTGATACGTAAACAATGCTCACTGGACAGGGCCTTCTATGCATAAATAGTTCCAAGATGAACAGGAGTGAGAAACATTTGATAGATTCAATACCATATGTCTACTTGAAACTGTCTTGAAAACTTACAATGCATGTTAGTTTATAAACAACCTTCAATAAAAAAAAAAAAATTAAAACCCCAAAAACAAAACCAAAAACCCCCTTGACTTTAATTTAATACATTTTCTAAATTTTATGAAAATGAAAATTTTCCTCATTTGGAAGACCCATTATAATATCAAGAAAAAAATCCCAGAGAATAGAGTTTGAGAAACATATTAATAGGACGTGCAAGCTGGTGATATCTTTTACTTTACTGCTCACAAGTAATTTTTGCTTGTCTTTAATGAGTCTTCCCCACATTTCCTCCATAAACATCCTCATAAAGCTGACCATGTAAAGCTAATTTTTTTTGTACTCACACCATATACTTCTACACTGGAAGGTGTTTGGGATGTAGCATATAGTATCGTTGAGAAATTTTTTTGATATGGCTAATAACATTAATTTATATTAATGTCTGCTTCACCAGGAATACAGTTTTAGTAACCTGACTTAATTCCTTTGTGTAGAAAAAAAATATGTGTATATATATATATATAGATTTATATTATATATTTATATTATATATGTTTATGTATAATATATATATAAACAGTATATATATAAAAAACAGTGTCTGTATATGTATATAAATATATATATTTAAACAGTGTATATATATATCTATATATATTAAACTGTGTGTGTGTTTGGCACATCATAGGAACTAAATATATGCTTCAGAAAAATAATAAGATTAATTAATTAAACTCATTAATGACTTGATTTGTCATGTTTTGTGAATCATGGAGCAATAAGAAATGTGTGTATTTTGCTGATAATATTTTTTGCTACAAACCATTTTTATTAGTATTTATTTTCAATGTTTAATATCAACATAGCATAATACTAAATTTTATGAAATTCACTCATTGCACATTATGTCTCTTCAGGATTTAAATTTTTATATTTTGTATCATCTCAATATTTATATTTTTAAGAACTTTTACTTTTTAATATTTTTGCACTATATTTTGACACTATATGTGTTAGTTTTAGATCTGTTCTATTTACGAATGTTCATGAACAGATTTTCCCATTTTCTAAAACTCTTATTTGAAAATGCATTATGAAAGAATTGTATTTTAGAAATCATGACTCCTCTGATATGGAATGACAAAATCTTTCCAGGACTTATAAAAAATTCACTAAACAGTTAGGTCTTTCAGCTGTTCTATGTGTTGACAGACGGTTGCAGATCAAAACTGTGCATCAAAAAGATTATGTTAATATAATTACAGTGGAAAATATTCTGAGGAACACAGGAACTTTTCCTTAGCACCATTTAAATGTGCTAAGGAAATAGGTAAAGTAAGCAAAGTCAACCTACAAAATAGGTAAAGTAAGCAAAGTCAACCTAAAAACACAGAACTGTAGAACTTGAAGGGACTAAATATATATCTACTTCAAATTCTCCTGCTTTCAGAGGAGGACACTGAGAACCAGAGAAATGAATTGACCTTTGCAAGGACATTCAGAAGTACTATTTTCTAAATCCTGCTCAGACATATCAAGGAATGACACAGGAAGTTCAAGGCCAAAGTCATATCTGAAGCCGTTAAATTTGCTTGCTTGAAAAACTAAATGTCATTTCTTCATAGAGGCCTTCTGGAGATCTTTTTCTTTTTTGTGACATGATTCATTCCCAAAAATATGACTGTACTGTAACTGAAAGCCTGGTTTATTTACTTCATACACCCCGTTAGAATTTATAGTAATTTTATTTAAATTGTGTTGCTTTTAGACCATTGAATTATTTGTGTTTTCTTCTTTAAAAAATATGACTATAATTTTTCTAATAATTAGAGTTCTTCATATATGAAAATTTCTAGCTCAGCATTTCTTAGTGACTCCTGAAATACCTGATGCTTTATTTCCTATCTAAATATCTATATCTTATAGTCAATATTCAGTACTTGGTCTCACCTCAGGACTATTGATTTTGATTATTGGGTTTGAATTATATGGGCTTAGAATTCTAAATTTTGAATATTCTTATGCATTCTAAAGTTTAAGAACTTAGAAATTTTATTATTTATTTTATGGTAAGGCAATTTTATTACTTCATACTGCTGTAAACTACTGTTTTTCATAAATTTTAAAAATGAATAGGCCAGGCACAGTGGTTCATGCCTGTAATCCCAGCACTTTGGGAGGTCAGGGGGGCAGATCACGAGGTCAGGAGATTGAGACCATCCTGGCTAACATAGTGAAACCCCGTCTCTACTAAAACTATAAAAAAATTAGCAGGGCTTAGTGGAGCATGCATATAGTCCCAGGTATCTGGGTGTCTGAGGCAGGAGAATTGTTTGAACCCAGGAGGTGGAGGTTGCAGTGAGTCAAGATTGTGCCACTGCACTCCAGGCTGGGTGACAGAGCGAGACTCCATCTCAAAAAATAAAAATAAAAAATAAAAAATTAAAAAAAAATATATAGACACACACACATGCATATGTGTATATGTACATATATACATACATATACACATACATATGTACATATATACATACATATACACATACATATGTACATATATGTATATATACATGCACATACATATGTACATATATGTATATACGTATATACATGCACATACATATGTACATATATGTATATATACATATGTGCGTATATGTATATATGTACACATATCTGTAAATATACACACATATATACACAGACATACGGGAGCATGCATATATGTGATATGTATGTGTCTATACATACATGCATATGCATATACATATATGTGGATCATATATGTACACATCATACATATATGTACACATCATACACATATATGAGCACATATGTGCACATCATATACATATGTGCGCACATATATGTATGCATCATATACACATGTATGTGAACATATAGACATATGTGTATACATATATGCAAACATATAGACATGTATGCATGCATATATGCATACATGTGTGTACACATATAGACATATATGCATACATGTATGTACACATATAGACATATATGCATACATGTATGTACACATATAGACATATATGCATACATGTATGTACACATATAGCCATATATGTACATATATGTACACATATAGCCATATGTACATATACGCCATACACATGCACATATATACACATATGCGCATATACTTATATGTATAGACACATGTATGTATATACATATACTTATGGACACATGATACGCATACATGTATACACACATATGTGTATATACACATATACATATACATCATATACACATATACACACATATAAACATGTGTAGAGGCACATATATGTGTCTATACACATATACGTATACATCATATACACACATACACATATATACACATATGTGCATATACACATATATACACATACGTGCATATACACATATATACACATACGTGCATATACACATATATTCATATATAGTTACATATACATTATGTACACATATATGTAGTAATATTCCCTTACTGTTAAGAATATTAATCAAATATAAGTCTAAATTAAATGAAAAAAATCTAAGTTAATCCTCATGTTAGTTCCTATACCTTTTTCTTTATATCCATAAGATCAGAAGAACACTTTAAATAATTAACCTAAGCTGGATGGAACAAGTAATAATAATAGTAATAATAGACTTTAATAATAATTATTAAAGCATGGTTCAATGGTTAAAAGTAAGGTCCCTGTGTCTGTGTCTGAAATCTAAAGACTGCAGTTTTATTAGAAGGACATTAATTATATGCATATTACTGAAAATTGCTGTCAAGGAAACAGAGTAGTCAATTTCCTTAACCCACATATTCCCATTGTACACTAGAGTCACTATTCTTCAATATAGTCTCAAAATATATATTTTTACTAATTTCAGGCACTATTTTTTAAAAGCTTATCTTCAATAAATCTTCCCATACTAAATTTTGGCTTTGTGGATTCTAAAGACAACAACACAGTGCTAACTTTTGACTTTAAACAAGTACAGGATGGGACTCAAAGTCTTCTAGTTTAAAGTTGATGTAATTGATTTATTCTCCCCTCCTTCACAAGAAAGTTTATATAAAAAGAACATAAACAAGTGGTGCTTACTTTGCCACAAGGCCTACTAATACAGGGAGACCAGGATGCTGGGCAGCTTAGCGGAAAGGTCAGTCTTTGGAGAGGGTTGGATTGTAATCCTTTAAGGCACCTATAAACTATGTGACTTTAGGCCAATTATAAAGTATTTCTAATCCTCCTTTTAAATATTGGGTTTTGTTGTTCTATAAAATAAAAAGAATAATACCAGGTAAACATTCTGCTAGGCAGTCTACCTTAGGTCTTCTATGTTAGGAGCTTCTATTCTAGCCAAGATTAACATTTAGTATAAATATTATTAGTTGCAATTATGACATTTTCTTCTATAGAGCCTAACAGGTCATCTTTACAAATTCCTTTATTTCACAGAAAAGTAATGAACTATATCAACTATTTGATTATATTTATACTTAGATGCTAGAAGCAGGACCAATATATTGCGCTTCCATTTCTCAATGATGTATTCAATTAATTCATGCTTTTTCAGTCTTCACTAGCTTGTTACCTGTCTACACCTAAGACCTTATCTTGTTTCTATTTTAACATCCAAATACTTTATGCATAGCATTTGTTTCTCGATTAATCTGACAAAAGATCTCTAGAATAAATGCTGCATTAACAAATGAAAGTGAATTTAATGCCTGCCAAGTTAGTACCTGAAAAAAAAAAAGGTCTTTTAAACTCCTTGGATAGTTTTGATTGTTAATGTTTTGATAATTATTTTTATGGTTATTTAAGTGTTCCTAGTATGACAAGCCAAAGGTCTAGGTTCATCAATCCACCATGATTGAATATTTCTTATAACTTTTTGTACTAGGTGGAAAATGATCACTTTTATTAATCCTGTGTACTGATCACATAAAAATAGCTAAGGCTTGCTTTGCTCAGGCCTATAGTTTAACTTAATTTATTAGGGAAGTATAATAGTATTCATCTTTAACAACTAAACTATAAAGTTCTCCTAAGAGAAAATCAGAGCAATAAATATTTTGAATAAAATTTTACCACTTTTTTTTAAACAAAAAAGCATAAAATTAAATTTGCCTGCTAATTTATATTTTAACTTGTTAAACTTGTAGCCCTTTTTGGATCTAATGATTTCCTCCTTCATGTGATTTTAGGTTTATTCAAACTTACTTTTGATTATGAAAAAATTTACCTGACAGCCAAAGCATACATTCAAACAGATAGCAAAATCATTGGTTAATAAGATGTGTACTAAGACACAGTCTCAACAGTGCAGAAATAAACCAAAAAGGTATTCTTTTAAAATATTTGCCTTTATATAGAAATAATATATCATGTTTTCATATTTAACCGTCATGGAAAATCTTGAATTCAGTTCTACTTTATTGATGTTCTCTGAACTTCCTTTTTAAGAGTTAATATTTTAGAAACAAGTTAATATGTACTGAATGTTTAAATTCCTAAACTATTTGTTTCCATAATTTTATGATATATAATTTTCCACATAAAATTTCCCAATTAGCTTATAATATCAATAAGATTCATGTTTACTACTCATAATTTAGGAGAAATAAAATTTGAACTAAAAGTAGTAGAGTTTGAAAATTTTCATAGTATAAATAACATGGTTTTAACCCAGAGGTTTTTTTAATCAATCATAGCGAAATATTTTCAAAAACTCAGTGACTTTGCCTAATGTCAATTAGTGGACCCAATTGATCACTTGTTTTATCATATATGTAGCAAATTTATAGTTTATCATTTGTCCAAAGGGTGTTAAGACACAAGAGATAATACATCAATATTGAGTAATAAACACAGAAACAGTAGTTTTAGAAAAAACAATAAAATGTTAATACTTTTAATGAAGCCATTAATTTTTTTGGCAAAATCACCTTCAATAATTATAGCTAATTAATACTTTTTCATCAAGTAAAATTTTACCAGATAGTGTGTTTAAACTATATTAACTTCAAAGAGAAAACTGTCAGAACTAAAAGTATTTTTAAGCCTGAAAGTTTAAATGATATAAATGTTTTTAAATGCTTTGATTTGAAGAGGTACAATCCTCTGTTTTCATGACTTTGATTCATTGCTGTGTACACAGAATTAAACTCAAGATAATACTGAGAGTTGTGCTAGCTGTTAAGTTCACAGTGATTAATGGCAAGACAAGATATCAGGCATCTAAGAGTTGAGAAAGTATTAACTTGAGAGAAAGCTGAAAAAGCCAGAGGGAAATAAGTCACAGTAACGAAAAGCAAAGAAAAAGCAAAACATTGTTCTTGATTGTACTTTGATACATTCCTGAATTCATCCTAAATTGTCAAAAGACATGTTAAAGCAGTGTTCATGGGATCTAAATCTAAACTGGCCTATGAAATAAATAACTAATATATTATTACATAAAAATTAAGAAACATAAAATATTACAAGCAAATTTTCTGTTTTTGAGTACAAAATGTAAGAAATATTAATTCTTAAAACTTTATGAGAAAAACAGAAGGCACAGAAAAAAAGCCATTCTAATAATTTATACAGTTTTCATATAATATTAGTTATCAATTATTAAAGACTTCTCACATAACAGACATCGTCTTAGATGATTGTATAGCCTATCTTAATCCTCATAACATAATCACCAGTATGTGAGAGGAAGTGTCTCCTTTTAAATTTTATATATTTTGTAAGCTAAAATTCAGAAAGATTCAGTACTTTTTTAAAGGTTGCACAGAAGTAAGACTTTAAATACAGTTCAGATCAGTAATTAAACTTTGTTTTATTCATTTGCTTAATCATCTGTCTTCCCCAATGTTGCAATATTTGTGAGGGTAGGTACCAATATTGGCTTTTCTACTTCTAATTTCCAGCAATTTTCACAGAACCTGACTCTCTTTCTTTCTCTCTCTGTGTGTGTGTATATATATGTGTGTGTATATATATATATAAATATATGTATATAGTTATATATATAAATATATGTATATAATTATATATATAATTAGAATTATAAATTTACTGTACTGAGTCATAAATCTTTCATAATTTTTTTAGTGTATATGTGTGATATTTCTTTCAAAACAAGAGCACTTTCCCAGATCAAACATTGTAACATGTATTTCTATGTATTTATTTTTTTGCATAGATTTACTCACTTTTTCATGTGCTCTTTGTATTTTTTTATTTGACATTAATTGGGCACTTAATGAACACATAGATTTCAATGTGCTAGAGTCTCCATATGTAAAGATGAATAAGAACTGATTCATTGTCTGAAGGCAGCAGCATGCAAACAACATTAAATCAGACAAACAGGTGCACACATTGTATTAGTGGAATGGTTTGTGTTTTGCAGATGCAGAGAGATAAATAACTAATGAATCATGAGGGAGCTAGGGAACACTTTGCTAAGGAAGCCACCTGTGGGCTGAAACTGGGAAAAGTAGTTAGTTGTCTAGCTTCATGTTGGCAGAGAATGGAAGAAAGGAAAAGCATTTCAGGAAAAGGAAACAATGTACAAAGACCCAGGTTAAAGAAGATAGGATGCTCAGTTTGCCTGTGATGTAGTGTGTGAATTAGAATGAAATGAATGTAAGCTAGCAGAAATACAGTCAAGTCAGATTACGATGAAGTGTTGTTCAGCAGAAATACTACTGGCAATTTGGACAAATTTTTCTTTGTTCAGACAAATTATTTGAGGGAAGTTAAACATCACTTGCCCTATCCACTAAATTCCAAGTACTCCCTAGTATTTGCAAAAAGCTGATACAAACACAACTCACCCATTTCTCCCATCACTTTTCCAAGTGCCTCCATCAGGAATTGTAATCTCACACATACACACACTGCACGGCATTAAGGGCCAACGTGAAGTACTGAGGAATTTGGACAATATTCAATGACAAATGAAGATAAAGAAGTTAGATGACTAACATGATTGTATTATGCTTTATAATTTTCCAATTTTAATTCCTTAATATGATTAGCCCAAACTGTAAGAGGAAAGCTGAAATCATTCTTAAAACTGTGAAAAGTTTTATTAAAATTCATTGAGATTGCAGTTATGAAATGTGCTAATTTTCAGGTTAGGACAACTTAACACTTGTCCATTACTGCTTCATTGACATGAAACTGCATTAGAACATGTCCTTATTCTATTAACACTTTTTTATGGCCTTCAAAGATAAACACAATAGGATATTTTGTTCATTGGCACACACACTCATATACATACACAGTCACATAGACTTGTATACACTGCTTTACTGCTTTATAAAGCTCTTACAAACATATTTTTGAAGAGTAAGTTTTTGACTTCTTTGAAATAATTTTTTTCTATCTTTTTAACAATTTGGCAATATCAAATGCAATGTTTTTGGTAATTTTATTATGAAAACAAAAAGCAACTTAAGACTTGATGAAAATAGTGGTCAAAGCAAATAAACACAGTTTATGTTTCAGCCAAATTATTGCATTCAAGAAGGCTGTGTTCACAATGTATGATTCTTTTCAACATGATTACATAATCTTATCTGTAAGCAATACAGCATGCCATTCTAGTTAGAAACAACAGTTCTGATTTAATGTTAGGTTTGTGAATTTGGTTCTCACCTTAAGAAACTAACACCCACATCCATATGCAATGCTTAATTTGCTTCCACTTTATTCACTTTCTTTCATAAGCTATGGACCGAGCACAAAAATAACCTAGTCCAAAAGATTCTTGGGGCCATCTGCTCTGTTTTGCCTTCTGAGGCTTCTGTTGTTTTCCTTTACTAAAGAATGGTTTCCTTGATGTTCTCAATTACCTATTGTTTTGCTGATGGTTATCTTGGCTCTCTTCCTGTAAGAAATTCAAGAATTGTCTCCAGCTGCCTATAGCATAGACGGCCAGTCATATGACATTTCCCTTATTGGGATGCATATAAGACAGGTGAAGAACTTTCTAATTAAAATATTTGAGTTGTCAATTCATAGAAGAAAATAATTTCTTAGGAGATTTTTCTGCAATTTTTATAATTAAAAGAATGCATTGGGTTGTTATCTTTCTCAAACCTTATAAATTTCTATTGAAATCTGTACAATTGAAAACAAAAGAACAACACTGAGATTAAGGTTAGTATACATTGTTGCCTATAATTATTAAGTATTGGAAATAGAAAGCTACTAGTAGCTGAATGGAATTTCATTTTGGTCAGATTCAATTGTGAGACAAAATCAAACAAAATCAAACAATTCATTCAAGTACACAAAGATGATTTTGGTATCTCATTTTAAAGCAAAGGCAAGAAAAATAAGCCTTACGAAGAAAGGACCTTGTTCATTTCCTCCCTTTACTTTCCTCAGAATATTTTGTTTCCTTTTTTTCCTCTCATTTTCCACCTTCTGTTCTTCAATTCTACTCTTCTCTGTTTTAAAGTAATTTCTTCCTTTAGCTGGGCCTCTCAACTTTTTATCTTCCTGGTTTTTATTACAACCTCTCTAGGACCTCTTCCTCATTTTAGATGCTAATTAGCACTTACTAATTGAAATTTTAAAAGCTGAGTATTTTAAACACTTTAGCACATCAAAAAATTCTGTGATCATAGGCAGATTTCAAAATAGTTTAGTGTGTAAAACAGAAGATACTAGAGACTGCTGCCTTTTAAAGAAAGTGTGAAAAACAAGATATGTGTCTAAATTTTACACTTATTTTAACATTGCATGTCTAATTCTGACATTCTTACACAGTTTGAAAACAAACCAGGTTTTTGTTGGGTTCTGGCTTGTGTGATTACTGTCATCAGAATCCTAGCCTATTCATTTCTTCAGATACAACACAGTTATCACAGATTTTATAGCATTTTTTTCTAGATTCTGCCACGTCTGTTCCATGCTTTCTACAGAAAATCAGCTATGAATAAATGTAACTTTATCCTAGGTACAGGGGGAAAAGCAGTCATTCTTATGAAGTGCAATTTTATATATAATTATTTTTAAAAGTTACATTGTATTTACGAGATGTTACAGATTGGATTCTCTGGGAATCAGATGTTGAGACAGAGTTTAATGTATGGAATCAAGGGGGAAAGAAAGTAGTCCTGACAGAGGTAGAAGTGGATTTCCATATGGTGACCAGAAACTTAGCTGACCCAGTGATTTATGAAGCTAAAAATGACCAATCAGAGTTGTTTTGCTTGAAGTGGAAGTGGCCTAGGCCTTTATATCCCTCCCTCTTTCAGTCACAGATATGCAGATGTGCTCTGCTCTGGAAATGGGTGTGACCTTGAGCAGGGCAGCTTCTCAACTCAGGCAATCCCTTAAGGGGCTGAAGCTTTCCTGCCACTTACACTCCTAAGACCAGTGGCAATAGGATACTCCCTGCGAAATGTGGGTGACCCATCTCCACATCCAACACCTAAGAAACATTTAACATCCCTAGACTTATGCTGAAGAATTTTGTTTTAAAATATTGATGCCTTGTTAGCTCATCATTAATATGAAAATTTCTGAGAAACTCAAAACTCACCCTTTTTTGGTATCACCCATTTTATTCACACATAATTTATCTCCCTTTTAACTTTTATTCATGGGTCAGAGATACTGCTGTATATACATGCTTTGTACTCACATAGTTCTTTTAATTTTTGCTTTATTTTTCCTTTGGCATACTTATAATTATAAACTACTGGTATTAGTGTTGTTATCACTTATTCTTCACTTATCTTTGCTATTTTCTAGATTAATAGAATTTTTCTATTCTATTAATCTAGATTTCTAGATTAATAGAAAGACAATGCATGCAGATAAGTAGTGTAGCCAATTCTAAGTTGGAGCCTTTAATTGTGGCACAAAGTAGAGAAAGATAATAAAGACTCATGTTTGTAGTGTTTACTAATAGCACATTTGGGGATAAATGAGAAAATACCATTAATTTGTTTATTTACACCCCTCACACACAATTTTGACCATGCTTTCATTTGTTTAATTCAAAGAATTTATGTATTTACTACCTCAATCAAAATGCATTATTTGACACTCTAGTAACGACTCAGATGCCCCTTTAGCATCTAATAATTCTTCTTTCAATGTAAATGCTCAATAAATAAATATCTGAAAGATACACAATCACAGATCCTTAAGAGTTCTTTAGGGATATACAGTATTGTCAAATACTTTAGGGATACATAGTACTTTAGAGATACACAGTATTGTCACATTTTAAACTCACATAACTTGGATTTGTCATTAGCTTAAAGAGTTTGCTCAAATACAATAAAAAATAAAGTTAGCAAACATAAAGTCATTTGAGTATGAAACACACTGTTTTTTTAATTGCTACTTCCACAGTGAAAACTTCTCATTATAATTAGCACTTCTTAAATATAGGCACTGATCTATACTTTTTATTTCTTTTTATTAAATGCATATTCCAACATTTTATCTTTATAAATATTGATTCCAAATTAAAGTGTCTAATTTTTTAAAAAATGTATTCAATGGTATGTTATTAATGAACAACTGTTATTTGAACAATTCATTTAAAATAAATAATTTTATATCTTTTGCCTTGTTAAATGTTTTAAAGGAAAATTAATTTTTAATTTGAAAACTATTCATAGAAACTTTGAGAAGTTTTACTAATCTTAATTTTTAATATGCTTAAATGCAACTATTAGTAGAATTTAATAATAATTTAATTAAATTAGTTAATATATGTCATACACTTGTAATAGTACCTTATGACCTCACACTTAGTGTGAAATGGAGGTCAGCTCTTATTAATAGCAAGAAGTAAACAAATAACTAGGGTATAATAAAACTTTCTAATAGTAAGATTATCAGCCTAAAATTTAAGGGATATTTTTATCATTTTTATAGAAAACAATGTATTTTGATTTTAATAAAACATGAAAAACATTTTAAAGAAAGAAGTAAGAACATGGAAAGATTTTTTTTTTTACAAAATTAAATATTTTCTGAATTAAATAAGATGTTCTAATATTGAGCCAGATTTATCTGCTTAAAATAATTAAGTTTTTTAGTGTGTATCAGACATATGTATAGAAGCCACTAAGGTAGGATTAATTAAATTATAGCTTGCAATGTATTACCTCATTCGAGATAATAATATGTAATTAGTTGACTTCACTGGGAATTTTCAATTTATATTCCTAATAAAAAATATTATGTAATTGAAACCAACATCTGCCTAAAATCAAAATGTCATTTAGAAGATTTGCAGACTACTGCTAAAGTCAATGGACATTGTCCCTAAGGAAGTTCTCAAAGAAGTGTTGTAGTAAAGAGCTTTCTGTGCATTATTCCAGCCTGAGGGAACTATGTTAGCAAGTATCTTACAGTCCAAGATATTGGTCTTCTTATATATGGGCAAGTAATAAATCACTGTACTTGCATATGTCATGTACGTGGCCCATATCAACAATCAGAGAAGATGTAAATTTGTTGAATACAAATATGAACAAACATCCATTGACCAACAAACTGTAACAGGCAATCAATCTGATAATGAGAAATCCAAAAGAAGACTTTCTTTTAAAGAAAGACATGAAGGACATTAGATCACAGACAAGCTCCGTAAGGTTCTCAAAAAACAAATTCATCTACAAAGCACAGGGAAGCATTTATAAGTACACAGCCTGAAGTTGATTACTTGTTTGTTCATATTTTTCAAAATAAATGGTCTAATATACCCTAAAAGAACAAATTTTCACAGACATATGTGTGGTTGGTATGTATGGGCAGGTTTATTGTTCGAAGTCCATATACAAACATAGCGTGTATTTAACTATTTATGTATTTAACTTCTATACTGTTTTCAAGCAAACTGTACTGTCTAATTGCACCATGTATAGAGGAGTAGGCTAGGACATTTAGATAGCATTTGGCATTTTATTCCAAATTCTAGGAGGAACACCAATAATCTCAGCTTATGTATTTAAAAATTAGAACTGATTTTAAAACTCAAATTTATTTAAAAAATATTTGTTTTCTTAATTGACACATTGTAATTGTACATATTTATGAGGTACACTTTGAGGTTTCAATACATATCTATGCTGCATAATGACCCAATCAGGGTAGTTAGTGTATCTGTCACTTCTGTGCATTTATCCTTTCTTTGTGATGAGAACATTCAAAAGTCTATCTTCTAGCTATTTTGTAATATACAATATTAAACTGTAAACCATAGTCACCCTACTGTGAAATAGAACACCAAAATTTATTCTTTCTATCTAATTGTATCTATTGACCAAGCTCTCCTCAACCTCTCCTCTCCCCTCCCCCCTACAGTCTCTGGTAACCATTGTTCTACTCTAAGCTTCTAAGATATCAACTTCTTTTATTTTAGATACCAGGTATGAGTGAGATCATGCAATAGTTGTCTGTCTGTGTCTGGCTTCTTTCACTTAACATGATGTCCTGCAGGTTCATTCATGTTACCACAAACAACAGAATTTCATTCTTTTTGATGGCTAGATAGTATTCCACTGAGTATAAACACCGTATTTTCTTCATCCATTCGTCCCTTGTTGGACTTTTAGGTTGATTCTATATCTTGGAAATTATAAATTGTGCTGTAATAAGTATGAAAGTGCAGATATCTCTTTGAATACTGATGTCATTTTCTTTGGATACATAACCACTGGGGGATTGTTGGATCATATGGTAGTTCTATTTTTCATTTTTTGAGGAACTTCTATACTTCTTTCCATAATGTCTCTACTAGATTACAATGTGTGTAAGTGTTCCCTTTTCCCCACATCCTTGTCAACACTTGTTTTCTTTAGTCTTTTTGATAATAACCATTCTAACTAGAGTAAAGTGGTATTTCATTGTGGTTTTGATTTGCATTTCCCTGATGACTAGTAATGTTGGATATATTTTATATACCTGTTGATCACTTGTCTTCTTTTGAGAAATGTATATTAAGTTTTTTTGCCCATTGCTAAATCAGATTATTTGTTCTTTTGCTGTTAAATTTCTTATATATTCTGAATATAAATCCTTTGTTAGATGTATAATTTGCACATATTTTCTCTCATTTGTAGGTTGTTTCTTCAACTTGGCTAATAGTTTCCTTTTCTGTGTAAATGCATGTTAGTTTGATGTAATCAAATTAGCCTATTTTTGCTTTTGTTGCCTGTGCTTTAGAGGTTTTATTTAAAAAAAAAAAATCCTTGCCCAGCCCAAAGTTGTAAAGCATTTCTCCTGTTTTCTAATAGTTTCATATTTTCAGATTTTACATATAAATATTTGATTCATATTGAGTTGATTTTGTATATGGTGAGAGTTTGGGGTCTAGTATCATTCTTCTTCATGTAAATATCCAATTTTCCTGGCATCATTTGTTGAAGGGATTGTCTTTTCCTCAATGTGTGTTCTTCTTACCTTTGTTGAAAATCAGTTCACTGTAGATGTGTGAATTTATTTCTGGGATCCCTATTGTGTTCCATTGATTCATGTATCTGTTTTTATGCCAGTACCATGCTCTTTTGGTTACTTTAGTTTTGTAGTGTATGTTGAAGTAAGGTAGCCCGATTTCTCTAGCTTTGTGATATTTGCTTAGGGTTGCTTTGGCTATTTAGCGTCTTTTTGTGGTTCCATATAAATTTTAGAATTATTTTTCTTTTGTGAAGAATGTTACTGGTATTTTGATAGAGATTGTAATAAATGCATAGGTTGCTTAGGGTAGTACAGCCACATAACAATACCAATTCTTCCCATTTGTAAACATGGGATTATGTCCGTTTATTTCTGTCCTCTTTGATTTCTTTTATAAAAATTTTATACTTTTCAGTTTAGAGATCTTTCTCCTTCTTGGTTAAGTTGATTCTTACATATCTTATTTTTTATAGCTGTTGCAAATGAAATTGCTTTCTTGAATTCTTTTTCAGATAGTTCACTCTTAGTGTATACACATACTACTAATTTTTGTATGATGATTTTACATCCTGAAACTTTACTGAATTTATTAGTTCCAACAGTTTTTCTTGATAGAATCTTTAAGGTTTTCTATAAAGAATTTTAAGATAGAAACTAAAAACAATTTTAAAGGTGAACAAAATAAAGAGTTGGATGACTGAAAAGATAAAATTCACAAATCTTTAACTAAACTAAAAAAAACGAGAGAAGACTCAAATAAGTAAAATCAGGTGAAAAATGCATCATTACAACTGACACCACAGAAATACAAAAGGAGATGTGAGAGTATTAAGAACAACTATATGCCAACAAATTAGATAACATAGAAAAAATTGATATGTTTCTGGATACGTACACTCTGCTAAGATTAAATTTTGTAGAAATACAAAATCTGAACAGAACAAAAATTAGTAAGAAAATTGAATCGGTAACAAAAAGTCTTCCATCAAAGAGAAGCTCAGGGTCTAATGGGTTCACTGCTGAATTCTACCAAAAATTTAAAGAAGAATTAATAGTAATTTTCCTCAACCTATTCCAAATAATTGAACAGAATGAAATACTTCCAAATTAATTTTACAAGAGTAGCACTACTTTGATTTTAATACCGGACAAGGATGCAGGAAAGACGGAAGGAAGGAAGGAAGGAAGGGGAAAGAAAGAAAGAGAGAGAGAAAGAAAAAGAAAGAAAGAAGGAAGGAAGGAAGGGAAGAAAGAAAGAAAGAGAAAGAAAGAAAGAAGGAAAGAGAGAGAGATGCAAGCTACAGGCCATATCTCTGAGGGACACAGATACAAAAAATTTCAGCAATATCCTAAAAAATTCAATCCCACAGTACACTAAAAAGAACAGGCCGGGCGAGGTAGCTCACACCCGTAACCCTAGCACTTTGGGAAGCTGAGGCAGGCGAATCACGAGGTCAGGAGAGCGAGACCATTCTGGCCAACATGGTGAAACCCCGTCTCTACTAAAAAATACAAAAATTAGCTGGGCGTGGTGGAGTGCCGGTAGTCCCAGCTACTCAGGAGGCTGAGGCGGGAGAACCACTTGAACCTGAGAGGCGGAGGTTGCAGTGAGTCGAGATCACACCACTGCACTCCAGCCTAGCGACAGAGTGAGACTCTGTCTCAAAAAAAAAAAAAATTTACTCTTAATGACTTAATACAATTCAGTTTTAATTTTAAGATTCATTACCACTGTTCTTGTACAATTATTTTATAATTATAAAAAAAAGAACATTCACTATGATCAAGTGGAAATCATCCCAGGCATGCAATGAGGGTTTAATTTATGCAAATAAATACATGTGATACATATCCCATTAACAGAAAGACAAAAGCATATGATAATTTTAATACATGCATAAAAAGCATTTGACAAAATTCAACATCCCTTCATGATAAAAAAAAAAACCTCACAACAAATTAGAAGTATGTAACTTTATGCCTAATTTCACCATTTCTATTCAGCATAGTACTGAAAGTTCTAGCCAGTTATTAGGCATGAGAAAGTAATAAAATGTACCCATATTAGAAAGGAGGAAGTCAAACTGTCCCTGTTTGTAGACAACATGATCTTATATAGAGAAATTCAAGTGTTTCTGACTTCAAAACTGTTGAAGACGTTAGTGCTACTTACCATTATCTCCTGAGCACATGAGGGTCAGTATAGAACTTCTTTACCCCCTTGAGTTTAGGCATAGCTTTGTGATTGGTTTTAGCTAAATAAATCTATGCAGATGGAACATATGCCATGTGTCACTTAAAGATGGAAGCAATTAATTGCTGATAGAAGACTCTCCAAGGTTGTTTTCTCTCTTTTGTTGTTGTTGTTGTTGTTGTTGTGTTTTATTTATTTATTTTTTTAGACTAGGTCTCCCTCTGTCACATCGGCTGGAGTGCAGAGGCACAAACACGGCTCTTAAAGCTTTGACCTCATGGGCTTAAGTGATTCTCCTGTCTCAGACTCCTATGTTTCTGTGACCACAGGCATGTGCCACCATGCTCAGCTAATTCTTTTTTTTTCCGTAGAGATGGGGTCTCACTTTGTTGCCCAAGCTGGTCTCAAATTCCTGGCCTCAAGCAATCCTTCCACCTCAGCCTTCCTAAGTGCTAGAATTATAGATGTGAGGCACTGTGCCTGGCCAAAGGTTCTCTTTCAATGCAGCAGCAATCCTCGATTGGAATTGATGTTGGAATTGCAAAGTTGAACTATCCTTTGCTTGATGGTTGTCTTGGAATATCATCTGAAACTGCAGTTTCCTTGTATAAGTAAGAAATAATTCTTTCTTGTTCTAAATAAGTGCTATTATTTGTTTTGTTATCCTAAAATAATCTAGCACACTCTGACGAATAAAAAAAAATCAAGTTTACCCTAATATGCTACATTGTCACGGAATCAAGCTGAAAGTTACCAAGCTAAAGATAATTAATATTTTCACCTACAAATCAAGCTTAAACATTCTTATATATGTTCCTAGACCTAATTAGATGTGTACAAGTTTGGTACAAATTCTCAAATATCAGTCATCTTATCTTTTTAAATGGCCCACAGTAGTAGCCATTGAAAGCTTGAGTAGCTGCTCAAGCTCAGCAAGTACAAAATTAGACCACTATTTCTGCCTACCCTCAAACCTATATTACCTTCTTAATCATATCCAGGGAGAACCAGGGAGCAATCCTGCTTCTTAACTCTTCATCCCTCCCCACTCATAAAAAGCTATATGGAAAATCATGTGGATTTTGAACATGTATCTATCATTGTCTGTTTCCTTATTGGCACTACTAAGTTTGGACCAACATCTTTGGAATATAACTAGGTTAGTTGCAACCTCCTAAACTCTGAATTATCCTCTACTCTTGTCATTCAAGATATCACTGTAAAATTCAAATCTGATCATGCATAAAGTACTTTACTGAATGTTTGTTATAGCAACCATATATTCTCTACCGTGGCACATCACATCTTCCATCATAATTTCTTTGTATACATTTCTGTCTTCATTCTCCACCAACCTATGACTTGCTTGAGGACAGAAACTACGGATTCATCTTTGTAGTCTTAGTTCTCAATCCTCCCTCACCCATCTTATACTTGTTCCCAGCCTAACCTCAGGGAATATCCCATGAGAATCCTAGCTGTCAAATAAAGACAAAACATTAATACCTAAAAACAGCATAATTTATGCTGACTCAAATAAGGTGCTCTCAGAAATGTTTCGAGAACTTCAGGACTAATTTTCCAATTCCTATTTATCACTTCAAAGCTGAAGTAATGTCACTTATTTCTGTTAATAGAATTGCTCAGAAATAGTTTCTGTTGTTAAGTTCAGGATTTACATAATTTAATCAAGTACATGTAATGCATTAAAAGTTTGTAATTTAGGGTATACCCAATCTAAGCTACCTGTTTATATTTGCCTACAAAGCACATACACACTTATCTTATAATTGTGAAAACAGTTTGGGTAGACAAAGACATTTTTTGTTGCCTACTAAAAATACTGAATTTTGCCAGACACTGAGGAGAAATTGCAATGTTTCAAATAAAACATCATTGCAGGTACTATTGTAAGCCTAATAGCATATATATATTTATAGAGACAGAGGTAATAGAGAGACTTATTGTCACAACTTTGTAATGTACTTGCAAAATAATCTTACAAAAAATTTAATTAAAAAGTATAGAATTTTTAAATTGTTGATATTTAATAGGATTTGTTCTAAAAAATGCTTTTATATTTTCCTTACGAAAATCAGAGAAAAACACTTTTGCTATGATAGAATTATACACACAGTCATTAAAATCTGATAAGATGGCTCCTGCTAAGTGAACTTTGCCAAAATTAATTGAGCAAGATGCACCTGCTGGTTTGAAAGGCCAGCTGTAACAGTATATGAAAGAATGAGAGAGAGGATGTGCTGAGTGTATATGTCACAGAGACTGGGGATATTCAATTAATATTTTCACTTATTAGAAAAGATGAAGCAATTGATGTTCCTAGTGATATTTTAAATGCCAGTGGTATTAATTCTGAATAATTGCTGTCATTATCTGTATATTATTTTGCACAGGTAAGCAGAGTAAATTTAGAGAACATTATAGTTTAAGTGTGAAACAAAATGACTAAAGAACCTACTATAACTTTCAAAATCAATATTTGGAATATGCAAATGATTAAGATAATAAGAATGTACATATAATGAAGAGTATATGATATTTTAAATCTGACAATTTAATGAATGAAAAGATAAAATAAAATATTATTATACAACTTTATACCAAAGATGCTAAGGCAAGAAGTGCCTGACACCTGGTAGATGTTTGATAAATATTTGTTAAATGAATGAATGGATAAAAAAGAGTTTCATAGAGAGTCTTGAACAGAAGACTGTTCAAGAGATCTCAAATATCTGTTTACATGGAGAGACAAATATTTTTTAGCCCATAAATATTTAAAACCAACTGAAATATTTGAAAATATATTTACAGTCATAGTATGATAAATTGTCCATTCTCACAAAGTAGTCACTGTATTTTGGTTGGCTTTCTTAAACAGAAATTACCTAAACTAAAAGGATTACTACTGTATCTTTTCTTATTTTTCCATACTTTTTCTGGTGCGTGTGTGTGTGTGTGTTTGTGTATTTTATATATATATATATATATATATATATATATATATATATAATTTTATTGTATGTATTAATATAATATATATCACTGATATATGTGTGTATATATGTATATATGTATACACACACACACACACACACACACATACATATAAAATATCCTCTAAGAGAAAAGACAGAATGGAGAGAGAAAAAATAAAAGGAAAGAGGAAATTATCCAGAGAGACACCATGAGTTATGGTATCTACTCTTTCCTCCCTAGAGATAATCACATCTTTCTAAACTTACATATAAATTAATAAATCCACAAAGTAAGAAATAGGCAAAAATTTCTATTATATATAAAATACAAATTTACACTAGCCATACTATAAATGTTTGCATTGTTAATATGCAGATAAAAATGTAACTTCTGTCAAATATCTAAGAAGATAAAGTCCCCTTGTTCTCCCATCTTGATTAATTATTTTCTCTTTTGAGAACATATGGTACAGAAAGAAAGAACTCTCCATAGTTGTGAAACTCTTTAGCTCATCTCATCAGACCTGATAATTTGGACCTTATGACCAGGCCAGTTGAAAATAATTATAGTGTTAATAATGGAAAAAATGAGATTAAATCAAAATTAGTTCTATTTAGCTCAGATTCATGCTGACGTAGAGCCAAAAGCCAGCTTTAGTTTACTCAGCCTTCCTTTGGCAATTTTTCAGTCAAGTACATGAACATTTATTCCGGTAATATCTAGTGGTGTTTTGGCCTGAACAAATCAATGGATTACTACAAACAACACAATAGTTGCCAAATAAACTTAAAATATAGATCAATTAGTTCACATACAAACACACTGACTGCTTCACACTATATTATTAAATTGAAAAACTATTCCATTAACACGATGCATTACTATAAAAGAATTGGCATATATGAATTTCTTAACATGCTCCCAACTCTACTTCTAAATAAGGAAGTTTACTAAATGATCCATAATATTCTTCATACATGAAGGTCAAATACTGTTTCTATATCAAACATTAAAATAATAAATTACCAAAGATGTATTTTCCAAGTTTGGTTTATCCAGATATTGATAAAATATTATGATTCTCTATTCAGAAATTGTATTACTCAATTGATGTGATTGATTGGATCAAATGCCATATATAGTTGTACTTTCTTCTGTCATATAAATGAGGCAACAATGGCCTTGGTAAATTAACTCTACCATTGTTTACTTCTTCACAGAAGGCTAAGACCATTACCTCAAAAGCCCAATGGTGCCAAACATAAATTTTCACACATGCAATTGTTCTGAACAAACTCCTGATAAGCACTATTTTTAGCACTTTAGAGCCTAGCTCCATTACATATCTAGGAAAACTTCACTCAACATTTGTTAGTCATAGATAAGACACATCCTGAGGCTATAGATGACACCAAGCGACTGTTGATCTTTGGAGTTCTCTAACTCATCGACTTCCAGTTATAGTGCTGAGCTACATCACCCAGATGTATAAGCTCACTCTCATATTCCTTTCTTCCTGGAGCTCCTTTGCCCTCTCTGCGATTTGGGTTCTGGCCTTCTGCTTCTGTTTCTGAAACATCTGCTGTGTATGCCCCTCCCACGTAATCCTAAACCTACACAATTAAATGTTATTGCCACTTCATGATCATGTCTTTTTCCTTGATCAGCCCTGAAACCCTCAAGTTTTAAGCATACCTTCTTAAGTTTTAAGGGCACTGAATAAATTTTAAATATAATCGTTAAAATATTTTATATCACAAGCTGCTTGCTACACAATTATTAGAATAACTAAAACAATAGAACAGTAAAACAACCATTATTAATTAAAATGCCAAGTAACAGGGACTCTCATACTTTACTGATAGGAAGTAGTATTACAGTATTGCCATTCCAAAAAATGATTTATCAGTCTCTTATAAAATTAAACTATACTTTCATATGACTTAGCAATGCTATTCTTGGGTATTTACCATAGAGAATGAAAACCTATTACTCTAGAGAATGAAACATTAATCGTATTCATGAACACTTATAGCAGTTTTATTCATAATCATTAAAAATGGAAATAACTCAAATGTCTTTAAATGAGGGAATATCTTATACTGGCCACTGCATAACAAATTTTGGGACATTTGTATAATAGGAAACTACTGAGAAATAAAAATAAGTGAACTATAAATATAAACAACACTTGGATGAATCTCAAAGATATGCTGAGTGAAAGAAGTCAACTTAAATAATTCATGTAATGTATGATACTTTTATATAATGTTCTTGAAAAGTCAAACTATAATGACAAAGAACAGATGAGTGATTGGTAGGGTTTGGAGTGAGGGAGAGTGTGGCTGCACAGGGATAGTGTGAAGGAAGTTTTGGTGTGAATGGAAATGTTTTGTATCCTAATTATAACGGTGATTACACAAATCTTTATGTGTAAAGATTCATAGAACTCTGCACACACACAGAATCAATTTTGGGTATGCTCCTTTAAAAAGTTAAATTTAAGTCTTTACATTGAACAATAACTGGAAGTAGAAATATTAGAATTCTATTTATTATTTATAGTATATTTTATTATTTGTAGTGTATTATTTACAGTATATTTTCTCTTAGGATTGTGTATGTCTTTACTACAAGATACAAGCAACTGTTGAAATATTCCATTATTATTTTCACTGTGTTTTGATGTCACACCATTACTCTTAAATTTTACAGGAACTTTAATGTCTATAATTTCATAGTCATTAAATTTAAAACTATTCATTCTCTCACAATAGATATTTAAAATTGTGAGTTATATGGCTTACATTTTAAATATGTATACTTTTTATGGTTCTTAATATGTGTTGTCAATGTGTCAAATTTTTAACATGTACACATTTCATTCTCATTATATTTACATTTTATTTGGCTGAATTTTTTTCTATACTTCAATAATCAAGCTTGTTCTCTTGATTTCCAAGGTATTCAAAATAATATTATTTCATGGAAAATTTCTTTTCTCACATGGATAACTGGAGAAGACATTTAACTGGCTTTCCTGCTTCTATTCCTGCCCTCATCTCTGCCGTATTTCCCTCTCACCACAGCAGTCAGAATGACTGTTTCCAAACATGTCAGACCATGTTACCCCTCTGCTCAAAACTGCAGTAGCTCCCCATTTCAGGGTCAAAATTAAAGTCTTTCAGATGGTCTCTGAGGTTCTGACTCTTACTTGCTTATCTGACATAATTCTCTGTTATTACCACTCTTTAAATTGCACCCCTGACACACTCCTGGTTGTGCACTAGCTGTTTCTTTTGTCTACAACTTTATTTCCCAAACAATTGTCACTGTTCATTGCCTGACACCCCCAAATATTAGATGAAATATCACTTTCTCGATGAGATTTCTTCTAATCACCTTGTAAACAATTGATATAAAATTGGTAAACCTATTCTCTTAGCATTTGCTGATTTTCTCATATTGTTTTACTGTTTTCTATTTTTATTAACCTATCATATATTAACATAAAATTATTTATATTTCCAAGTACCTAATACAGTGCTTGACATATAGAAGGTGATCAATACATATTTGTTCAATGCCAGAGAATAATTTATAAACTAATTTGTGCAAGAAGTATTTTATGTATGCATATAAAAATAATAATTCATGATCAAATATTGCTTGATGTGTTTATTTAAAAAAGTATGGTTTGTCTCCTTAAAATATTTGTCAGGAAAATAAACGTTGAGTTTAAAATCAAATATAATTATGTAAATGACAACTCAGTCTTGAACATTGAGATATACTTCAAGTTCCCTCTTGACCCATTTATGCCTAGTGTTCCATTATTGGAGTGCTAAGCATGTGGGAGTTATTTGTATTCTATTGCTCAAGGTCATCACCAAGGTCTGACTGCAAAAATTCAAAAAATTGCAACCTCAGGCATAAATGGGTTAACTGTGATGGTATATAATTTTAATATATTGTGATACTATATACTTTTAATATATTTAATTTCATACAAATGTATGATTTGGTGCTTTTATCTTTATCCTAAAGAAAAATCTACCTATTTTCTTTTTTCAAATTTCAGTTATGTTTTCAATTTTCTTCTATCTATTGGATTCCGATAAATGGATGTAAATTGTCATGTAGTCTAATCTTATGCAATTACGCGGTCCCCAGTTAATGCAGAGATCATTCAAAAGTATACACATTGATGCATTTTAATTGTTATTTTGTACATACAACCAAGATCACAGGAGACACAGGAGATATGAAGCAAAGAAGACTTTTTGGATACAGTTTGTAAGATTAGATATACAACTACAGGGGGTAGATATTTCTAATATTTATCTTGGCTGTCCCATGAAGGTAGTTAAATTTTGTTTACTACAGAATAGCAAATTACACTGTCTGGCTTAAAGAATGCCTGAGTTGTAGTGCATGATAAGATATCTCCCAAATTATGTCAAATATATCTGTGAAAACTGAAAATAAGACTAAAGTTTGTAATACAACTAAATGCCAAAGTTGAATCTCTACCAACATCAAAGTTAATGTAATCAATATACAAATATTTTGTCTTCTCATCATCTAAAAGAAAGTAAAAAGTTTCATCATCCGTCTACATGCCACCTTTTAATAAATTGGAGCCCTATCTCCTCTAAACCATCTCCTCTCCCCAGTCGTTTTGCATCTATTCTGAAACAGCAACTCCATATGATACTCCAAGTGAGCATACAGGAGAGAGTCTGGAAACTTCGGTTTTTCATGCTTCCATTGATTCAGAGCATAGAAGCAGAATCCACCACAGTAGACTAGAGAATCTGTAGATGTTCAACAAGAACCAATGACTAGGTTGGAAACTTACCTTGTGTTCCACGTGTGGGACTGAGAAATTTATTTTGCCATTACTCAGTGAAGAGAGATGAGGCTTAAAGGTATCCACATGACCTAATTACTAAAAATTTCTGAATTGGGGTAGCTTTCACTTCTTTAAGTAATGTTGAAAAAACAAACAGCAATATTTATAGATAGTTCTACAAAAATAGAGAATAGAACCATTGTTCTGAATACTGAAATAAAATATAATTTAGATAATAGTCTACTGCGTTAATAAGAAAAACCTTTTGCCATATTCAAGAACATACAATGTCTATAAAATGAAAAGAGAAGAACACCAAGAGAGAAATAAATGAGATAAAAAGATAGCAGAAACCAGTTGTGGTGCTTCACGTCTGTAATTCCAGCACTTTGGGAGGCTGAAGAGGGAGGATCACATGAGGCCAGGAGTTTGAGGCCAGGAGTTTGAGGCCAGCCTGAGCAACATAATGGTACCTCATCTCCCCCCATTTTTTTTAATTAGCCAGGTGTGGTGATGCACACCTGCAGTGTTAGCTACTTCAGAACCTGAGGTGGGAAAATCACTTGAATCCAGGAGGTCCAGGTGGCAGTGAGCCACGATTGTGCCGCTGTATTCCAGCCTGGGTGACAGAGTGAGGCTCTGTCACAAACAAACAAACAAACAAACACCAACCAAACAAACAAAAAAGACAGATAATAGAATGAAATGGAAAAGAAGGGTAACATAAGTTAGAATTTATAGACAAATAAAAATTGGAATTAAATTTACATCAGAGTCAGAGAAAAGCACAATTAGCGTTGAGATAAATAAATATATTTTTAAAATTCAAATTGGAGGAACTTTCTAATACCAAAACAAAATCAGGCCACGCATGGTCGCTTATTCCCACTCTTGTAACTGCAGCACTTTAGGTGGCCAAGGCAGGAGGATCACTTGAGTCCAGGAGTTCACAACCAGCCTGGGCAACATCATGACACTCCAACTCTACAAAATTTTTTAAATCAGCTGAATGTGTTGGCTGATCCCAGCTACTCATGAGGTTGTGGTGGGAGGATCCCTTGAGGCTGGGAAATTGAGGCTGCAGTGAGCTGTGATTGTGCCACTGCCCCACAGCCTGGATGAAGAGTAAGACCCTGTATCAATCAATCAATCAATCAATCAATCAATCAATAATAAATAAGAGAAAGAAAATTCTACAATTTTGAGAAAGAAGAAATGTTAATGGGACAGAGAATTAGAAAAACAATTTAGAAATTGCATTGCCCTCAGCAATATAAAATGTATAATAGTGTAACAAGTTTTAATAATTTTTCTAGATCATTATATTATAATGTATATATGATTTCAAATACCACCACTAAAACCAAGAATTGGAACTAAAAAAGGCATTGAGGTAATGGAAGCAGTAAATATAAGATAATATTTTATTGAAGAATTTTGTATATACTGTTTTTATTAAGGGATTCAGTTAAAGAGATATTTCATTGTTGACACTTAGACCTAGAATATAAAATACGACATTAAGCAAATGAGTCGAAAGAAATAAATCCTCAAAATAAAATATAATATGTACCATTTATTAGAAACAAATTCATTCAGGATAGTTACAAATAAAACCATGGGAGAATATGTTGGACAATGTATATTTCATATGAAATGGAAAAATTAAATTAATTCCCTTTAATATGAGGAACATTGTTAAAATTCTCACTGTTACAACCATTTACTACTGTCCTAGAGGTCTTGGTCAAACCAAAATGAAAAAAAAAAAGGAAATAAGAGATATTTGGAAATTGGAAAGATTTGGGGGTTGATCAAGGAAAACAGATGTGATGAAAAAAGACAGTAATGCACACACAAACTTCATTGAATGGCACTTGGACAGGGTTGCATGAGAAGGGACGTCTCTCTAACTTAAGACCTTCAGACACTAATTGTGAGGAGGCCACCATCCAGAAGAGAAGGAACACAAGGAAACTCCTGAGGTAAAAGGGAATCCGAGAGAGACTTACTTGTCCAAGTGATAACTAAGCAGCACCACGGAAAGTTTCTGGGTCAGAGAGCTCTTAAGGGCAGTAGCAGCTTAGGCTTTATCACCACAAAGCTCTAGCTCATCAATGCCCAGCAGATGCTATATGTAGTTTTACAGGTTATACAAAGTAGGCAGGCTCTAAATATTAGTTTGGTGCAAAAGTAATTCAGGTTTTTGCCATTGAAAGTAATGGCCAAAAACACAGTCACTTTTGCACCCACCTAATAGCTAAAAATCTTCTTGTTTGGACTATTTTTAAAACCATTATGTATGTAAAAATTTTAATGTGGTACCAGCTGGCATTTGAGCTAACAGATATCAGTCTGTAGTGAAGAAATATCAATGTAGGGGCCAATATACAGAGGCCTTTTTGCCTCACTTATATAACAAAATTTAAAAATTGGAAGATAAGTTAGTTATTCTAATCATATGCAGAGAAACTGGATTATCTAGCAAGTAAATGCATAGAACAAATAGGTAAAATACTGAATGAATACAAGATTTCCACAAGGTTGCAGAATACAAGATTGATGCCCAACATTCAATGCCATTTCCTTACCAAAAGACTAACAGTTATAAAAAAAAATCAGAAATAAGATATTATTCCCTAGAATGACAAAACTGATACACATGACTATTTAAACACACACACACACACATACACACACACACAAACACTCATACAAAACCCATATGAGAGAAACTATCATAATGAAGATTTAAAAATCTGAATAAATGAAGAGATATGTCACTTTATGAGATTTCATGAATTAACAGTATACTGTCTGTTCTCTCCAAATTATCCTATTAATTTAAGCCAAATTAAATTATATATTTAATAATGCTTAATAACATTACTTAAAAATACATAGGTAAAAAGGAGCCGCAAATGTAGGTTAACACTAGAAAATAATAGTGTGGGGGTAATTGTCCAGACAAAATAAAAATATATGACAGAATTATATTAAGAAGAATGTGTAGATTTTGATTATAGCTTTTCTTTTGATTAAAAAAAGCCATAGACAAAGATAATATATTAAGAGATATACCTAAAATGTCTCCAAACTAGAAGGGATTAATTACTATCATGCACACATTACTTTTGAAAATAAAGAATGCACATCACTGACTGTGGGAACTCCAATGCCCTGTTTGCTCCTTTCCCCAAAGTCTCAAACTAGACTCTCAGTGGTTTCTCTGTTGGGTTTATACCAGAGAAGAACTAAGGGCAGCTCAGGAAAATTAACCTCCTGAGCACTCCTATGACACTTTATCCTTAAAGGGAAAGTAACAAAAAGCTGTTTCCAGAACCTTAAACAGGGAATCATGGCAAGAGATGTTCTGATGCTTCTTCCTAATCAGAGCCGAAGCTACAAGAAGAGACAGTGACACATATAACTTATTTTTGCTGTTTTCTTTTTTCAAAGCCTTCTTCTCATGCTTTTTGGGGCAAGAATAGGGGAAATTTTATTCTTACTTCCTCTAGGACTTTGCTATTATTCCCACTAAGCTAGATTAGCTACTTTACATTTAGTTAAATAATACTATGCACAGTGAGGGAGAAGTCTACGGCCTGGGTGCTTCAGGATGGACTTACAACATAACAGCCAGCCTTTAAAGTTATTTATTTATTTATTTAGTTAGTTAGTTAGTTAGTTATTTAGTTATTTTGTTGCATGGCCCTATTTTGCATGTCAGGACCTGAATATAACCTCCTTTTTCATTATGACTCTTATGTATTCCAGCGTCCTTTTAAGTATTTGGGTGCCTTTGGTTAATTCGAACAAAAGTTACCTATTAAGGAAATCACAAATAAAAAACATATACCTTGATATACCTATGATTGCAAAGCAGTGTAAGTTTTATGGAAGCCCAATAGAAGGAGAATTCTGAGAGAGAAATTTCAGTTCTGGTGATTGTTACATTTCAAGAAAAACCAAAACTGAAACTCTATTCTCTTCCACAGAAATGTCTCATTCATTTCTGTGAAGGATATCTTTAATGTCCTTCACAGATGTTAAAACTTTAAGATTCTATGAGATATGGCATCAGGAATATCTCACTCTTTTTAATATTTTATGTAGTCTCTACTTAAATACTTTTCTTTACTTCTTTGATCTAATGAATTTTTCTGTGAAACAAAGAAGAAATCAAAGTTCAAATTCACCTCTAGGGTTGCCAGATAATATATATCGTACACTCTTAAATTTGAATTTCTGATAGAACAATATTTTTCAGTATAAGTATTTCCCATTCAAGATATGAGATATAATAATACATCCATTCCTTTTCTGAAATTCAAATTTAACTGGACTTTTTTCTGTTTTTATTTGCCAATTCTAGCGACCTTATATAATACATCAAATTTTATGAGTTCATAAACTTTGTTAATCATGAAATTGGAAGAAGTATGGTAACAACCAATTTTTTGACATGTAATATCATAAGTAGTTCAAACTGAAAACGTTTAAAACAACATTTTTATTTCAGTGAAATTCTTTCAGTTATACTTTTGAATCTTCATAAAAAATATTTTCAGTCTGGTAAATATACATAGATATGTATTTCTTTTCCATTAAAATTTTTAAGGACATAATGTTTTCATATATTCTTTTATCAAATATTTTAGGTCAGTGAATCTAAAAATAGGATCAAAACTCAATGTATGAAAGAAAATGTATACACCTTCAAATCTATGAGTCACATGAACTTCACCAAAATCAAATTTTGTTTTTCTTTTAAAATTATTCTTCTCTGTATTTTTTATTTCTTTTATTTTCTTGAAAATTTGTATTTTTCAAGAAAGAGGGACATTTTGCCATTAGTACTGGTGAATACCATTCAGCTCTTTTTTTTAAGTCACAAAAAGCCAGAGGAATTCAAACTTCAACATATCTCTCACTATCCTCAAAAAACTTTCTTCCTCAGCTATACATAGGCATCTATTCTGCCAAGCATCTGCTGAGGAAATGATGTAAGTAAATTTCCAAAGATTTTAAGTCCCTAGCTTTAGCCTAAGTATAGCAATTGCCAGATTGCACTGTGACTTAAAATCATATCAAAGAAAAATGCCCAAGCTTCCTCCACATGGCATTTTAAATTTTATGTATGGCTTTTAAAAATTGTCTATATAAGAGATTAGATACAAAATAATACTTTCTCAGGAAAAGGATGTTTCTAGAGGAGTTTATGGTAATACCATCTTCCTTAAAATGTGCTTACTTTAAAGGACCGATAGCAAGCAAGAGAAGAGTATATGCCAGCAATTAAAATATTGTCTCCAACTGAGTATCAAGGAGAAAAATATGCTGATGTCATTAATGTTTAAAAACATTCCTTTTACCACAAGTAAGGTATAGACTTAAGAAATTTTTAAACTCATGAAAGCCTTCTGAGCTTTCTTTTCTCTAATTAATGGGTGCAATGGGAAGTAAAGTGGCAAATACTATTTGGTATCATTCTGAAGATTAAATGTAAATAATGCATAAAATACAATGAACACATTGCCCAACATGTAGCAAGTACTCAATAAATAGAACTTATTATTATTTTTAATTCAATTTTAATTTAATATATTAGATTGGTTTTAAAATTTATGAAGCTAGATGTCCTTGATGCAGTCTTACCAATCTAAATATACATTCAATTTTTTTGCATTAAAAGCAATACTCATTAATCAAGAATACAATATATTGTCACTAACCATTCTATACAATAGATATCACATTTAAACGTTAAATGATTACATATGGCTAGTACTGTGTTAGCCAGTCCAAAGACATGAAAATAATCTGAAATTTTTAAGTAACTGAGCTGACAGAAAGACTGATGATTATATGTTAGTACTATAATCAAAGAGAGCTAACTGTAAATCTCTGGAATTTGACATGTCATCCACATTAATGTATAAGTTGTTAAGTGTGATACCAAGAAGAGAAATTGTTACCTACACGCCAAAGTCACTTAAGAAGATGGATGTGGATATAGTGTTTAGTTCTAAAATTAAAGGTGAAGCTATAAAAAAAGGATGGCTTGGGAGGCTGAGGAGGGCAGATCATGAGGTCAGGAGTTTGAGGCCAGCCTGTTCAATACAGTGAAACCCTGTCTCTACTAACAATACAAAAATTAGCTGGGCATGGTGGCACGCACCTGTAATCCCAACTACTTGGGAGACTGAGGCAGGAGAATCGCTTGAACCCAGGAGGCAGAGGTTGCAGTGAGCTGAGATCGCGCCACTGCACTCCAGCCTGGGTGACAGAGCACGACGCCGTCTCAAAAAACAAACAAACAAAAACGAAAACAAAAGGATGGCATAGAATGTTTACAAAAGCACCAGCCTGGGCAACATAGTGAGACCTCATCTTTACAAAAAAAAAAAAAAAAAAAAATTGTCAGATTTGTTAGGGTGCCTGTGGTCCCAGCTACTCAATGGCTGAAGTGGGAGGATTACTTAAGCCCAGGAGGTTGAGGCTGCTGTGGGTTGAGATCACATCACTGCATTCTAGCCTGGGCAACAACGTGAGACCCTGTTTTAAAAACAAAAACAAAAAAAAGGAGTTTATAAAATCAACTAATAAAATAAAGATAAATGACGATGAATTCTGGGATTGTTTTTTATATTAGTACAAGAGAGTAAAACCAATGATTTTCAGATCTTGGACAACTTGCTTAGCATATCACAACCAGCTTTTCACTAACTCCTGCTTTGACATCATTGTAATTTATGTTGACGTAATTGAAAATTCAGAATATGATCTCATTACCTCTGTAGCCAGAGCCATTAGAAAGAAAAATATTCCTTACTGTAAAATAAATGATATGGAAAATACTAGTTGACTATTTTTTCTCTTCTATGAATCATAATTATTTGTATTCTTGTTCACAATAGAAATCATGTGATTATGTAAATTACCATTACTATTCTATTTCTAATAAAATATTTTAAGATATTTTAACCTTAAGATAACATGGTATTGTCATGTTAAACTATATTTCATAATATTTTTCATGGCATTATCCTTTTAAATGAGACATATTTAAAAACTAAATATAGAACCTAAATGGGAGAAGAAATTTGGTTAGATTATGCTATGTTTTATAGTGTTAAACTCTTCTATATATAGTTTATATGAAGATGATTGCATTTGTTCATCTTGCTTTAATTCATATTACTCAGTGCCTGAATAAACAGTACATTTTTTTATGGACACAAACTAACATCATATTGTCAGTTTCCATGCACTTTGAAGGGGATCATGTGATACACTGCAATATGTATTTGTTTAATTACTTCTCAAAAACGAAATCATAGAGTTGGAAGATCCATATAAAGAAGTGTGTACCAATGTTGAAGATGAAATGTAATTATAACAAAATATTTTGTAAGTCTGAAAGCCATTTATGTCTGGTAAACATAACCATCATGGAAGAATATGGGTATGTTTGGCAGATCCATGTTTTCTCTTGGAAGGCAGTACGTTAGGATGATCACAAAACAGGAGATGTTTTATAATTATTTTGCAAATTATATTTTCAATATCTACACTAAAATGTCAGATACATATTCTTATGGAAAAGTTTGTGGAACAAATTTAACTTAAAAATTTTTTAATGTAAGCAGTTACAAATTTGATGAGCTTTTGAATAACATGCCTTGAATTTCCTGAACAACTCTTCATTATGACTTACAAATTATTTGGAATTCAGTAAAGTATAGGATCCAATAATATAGCACATAAACAGAAATATAAAGTGTCTTATTTGTACAAAAATGTGATTGTACTGACAGGAAAAATTTACAGATGAGATAAAGTTCAAAGAGAGGAAGTCAAACACTAAACTACGTATATTTCTGTATTTGAGAGCCATCACTCCATCTCATTAACTGGTTTATGTATTTAGGCATATTTTATTTAAAACTCACTATTTTTCTTACTTAATTCCTAGGTTGGTTCTTGTAAATATTGTCTTTATAAAATTGTTTCTCTCTTAAGATTTATTTTTTTTTAATAATATGCTCTTATTTGGTATATCCTCTCTTGTGGGTCCAAACTCCTAAGGTCCCTAGGTTATGCTTTCATAAGCAATGACACCGGTTTAATGAAATGAAACAATTTACCCTCATAGGTAGTCTACTTCTATCAAGTAATATACTAGAATTAAGTCACTGGTTCTTAGACATTAAAAAATATATAGCAAATAATGAATCCAATGGTGCTAAATTCATGTGAATATATTACATCAGGCTATCGGTAAGGAGAGAAATTCAGGTCAGAATGTTATTACTATATGTAGACAGATTCAAGCAAATAAAACTAGAGAAAAAGGTAAGGGACTGTATGGTTAAGAATAAATTGATAAATAATAGATAAATTTGATATGTCATTTCTGTGTAAGAGATAAAAACAATATCCTTGATGAGGATGGAGTAAGGAAAACTTTAGGAAAGAGAAATTGAACAAAAGGCAAACAAACCCAAAAATCTTGGAGAATTTGAAAAAGAAGCAATAGAATATTAAAGAGGTTACTGTGTCAATACCTAAGAAAAGATGGAAATAATGTATTGGCAGTAGTGCTGAGACTAGAGGCCACTGTATTTTTAAAGCTATAAAAAATGTTGGGATTTCCACCAACTGTGGTCAGTAACTGTGACACCTGGATTTTGATTAATTACTAAAGAACAAAAATTTATGCAAGAGAAAACCAATAATTAATAATTTGGTACTATCTAGATGCTAAGCACAATATTTATATTTTAGATACAAGATCTAACTAAACTTCAGAATAATTATCTTTTTTGTTTTTTACTCAACTACTGCACATGAAAAAATTTAGCTTCAGCAAAGTTAAATGTTTTGGACAAGATTAATAAATAGTAGATATGGGGTGACATTGAAGTCCTTGAACTTCAAAAGAAATATTTTCCCAGCAAATAAAATTTCCTCCACAGGAAAAATAACAATGTTGGTTATGGGATTTTTGTCTCAAAAAAAAAAAAAAGGAAATGTAGAATGATTCAGAAAGTGAGAGAACTAGAAGGATAACAAGGCCCAGTGTTTTTTAGAGTAATGATGAGGTTCTTGGGACTTTTGTGGATGAGTTGCTACATTAAAGTGGTTGTGATTTTCCTTGCAGTTAAGGAGACCAAAAAATTTGAAGTAAGATTTTAAAATACCGATGACAAGTTTTGTATTTGAAAAGAAAGACTATCAAGTAGGTGTATCCATCAATTAGTGAGGAGAAACCAAGAAGACAGTAAATGACAAAGTTAAAGCAGTAGCAAAGCTGATATAAGGTGACATGGAGCTCAAAGAAGAAGCAGATTTTGAATAATATGTGTAAAGCAATAGTTTCATAAATGCAACTGTTAGCTTAGAGAAAGTAATAATGACCCCCATGGGGAATGGTACATGGTAGAATGCATAGCTTTCTATGATTCTGTAACAAACTGCAGAAAGAGAAAAAAGAACGTGTGGTGTGGTAGACTATCAAAAATAGTTTCAGCAAAATTTCCAACCAAAATTGGTCTTACAGACCTTTCTCTACCCCTTTATCCTAAATGAGCTTCTATAAAATCCTCAGCAAATATAATATACAGAGAATGACAATGTATGATTTCTGAAGATGTCATAAAAGTTAATACAGCTCATTGTCTCTATTGAAGCTTATTGTGGAATTTAGCACCATGTATAAGGAAGCCAATGCCATGTAGAAAGTCAGTATGTAAATCTTCCAACAGATAGCATCAGCAACATCTAAGCCAATGGCTGGCATCAACTTCCAGATTTGGGAGGAAGCAATCTTTAGATAATTCTAGCACCCAGTCTTTGCAATGACAATGATCAGAGCAAAATCAAAATAAAATTGCTGATTTATGAAAATAAATGTTGTCATTGTTTTAAACCACTTAATTTAGGGTTAGTTTATCACACAGAAACAGATGACCAGTAAAAACTTTGAGTAGTGAAGATGAAAGAGCACTAAGAATTAAAAGTGCTCAAAGAACTGGAAGTGAACGACAGAGGAGGAAAAGTTAGGAAAGAAATGAGAGCTCCGGAGAATGTAAAAAACAGAGAGACTTGCATTTTGGCTGAGGATAAGAAGAACATAGATCAAAGGCACAGAGAAAAAATATGCTTGTAATATATACTAAAATCCCAGAGTTTCAGCTATTGATAAAAGTCAGATTTTTTCAGACAAAAGTATTTTATCAGCATTCAAAATAAATTACTCAGAAAATTATAGTGTCTCTTGTGGGAAAACTAACCACCTCCTAGTTCAACTGTCATATATATATATAGCACTTAATGGTTATTGTATTTATTTTCTCATAGTTAAAATCACTGAAGGCCATCTTTGTATGAAAACATTGTACAGAGTTCAAAACACTAAAAATACACAAGTAGTTCTTGGTTTTGGGTCATAAAAACAAACTACATTAGGTGAGATAAAAGAGCTACTGCTTTTCATTTATTCAATAATAGGTACATTGAATCTTTCTAGCATTGGTCTTTATATATACCCAGTGGAACAATGTTAATTAATAATATTTTGAAATTTTAAAATAAACCGAAAATTCAAAATTATAGGCTAAATTTACACATAATGCTATACTAATAAAATTCTGTGTGGTCAAGGATATTTATTTGAAAATAATTTTATATTTAGTTAATGATAAGTAGCCAGATCATTACTTTTCTATGAAAAAATTCTGAAAAGTATAAGAAGGCACCATTTTCAAATTAACATCTGGGATTTACTCAGAAAGTCATTGGTCAATAACTGTTTTAAAATAACTGAAATAAAAATCATCTGACATATGTTGTTTACCTTACCTAAAGTATATACTCATTTTATAAATTTTTGTACCCCCTGACAGACAGACAGACAGACAGACACACACACACACACACACACAGAGACAGAGAGAGAGAGAGAGAAAGAGAGACATTAGCACTTTTCCCAGCTTTCTCTTCATGGAGTAATTAAATTTATTCCATTTTTAAAATCTTAGACTCAGAAAATAATAAATAAGGAATATTACAGAACCGATTACATGATTTCAGTAAGCCAAAAATGATGTTCACTCTGTATTTCTTACTATCTCAATGATATTCTTCATTATACAAGTATAACACCTCTTAAGAGCAATTATTTAAGTAAAATTTTGTCAGGGAGAAGATATGAGGATTACTCTCTTATTAAAAAAAAATTTAAAAAAAAGTAACTTGCCAAAAAAAGGCATGATTGAATTAGAGAAGCTCCCGTTTTTTGCGACCCTGCTCCTGAAGTGAAACCTTGGGTTCTAAACACCAAATGGTGGCCTCATCTACCATGACGCATGATATTTGTTTTATCAAACAGAATAAACTCTATTAAAGATGCTCCTTAAAAGCTCTAATTTCAATTATACCCTGCTATCAGAGTTGGTCTACCATAGATAGACTAACAAATACTAATAGAATAAAATCTAATGCATAAAGGACAGAAAAAGGTATTACATTTTTCCCCAAATTTACAAAATTGATTGTTCATTAAGATATTTATATGTACATCTTAATTTAATTCACTTATCTCAGATTATTTTTAAATTTGCTTTTAAACTTGATGGAAAATTCTCCTGAATTGTGGCATAATTTGAGTTCAAAATATATTAATTATTTCCAAATCTTTATCTTGAATCAGGAAATGTTCATTTATTACAAGCTATTTCTAAAACTGCTTTTTTTTTTTTGAGACAAAGTCTCGCTCTGTCACCAGGCTGAAGTGCAGTGGTGCGATCTCAGCTCACTGCAACCTCCACCTCCCAGGATCAAGTGATTCTCCTGCCTCAGCCTCCCGAGTAGCTGGGACTACAGGCGCGTGCCACCAGGCCCAGCTAATTTTTATATTTGTAGTAGAGACGGGGTTTCACCATGTTGGCCAGGATGGTCTCAATCTCTTGACCTTGTGATCCACTGGCCTTGGCCTCCCAAAGTGCTGGGATTACAGGCATGAGCCACAGTAGCCAGCCTAAAATTGCTTTTAAACCTATAAAATAAGAATTTGATTGGGTTATTAAGGTAAGCCTGAATATGATGAAGTAGGTTGTAAAAATTTCGAATTTTTATTCATGCTAATCAAATCAACATTCTAAGAAATCCAGTATGGTATCTATTGAAAGGATGATGACACTTTAATAATTATGGTATTGTGCTTTTATAGCCAGCTTCTAAAACTGTCATATCACTGAGTATCACAGACAAGATACAATAATAAGGTTACCCACAGAGAAAAGGTAAAATGCCTTGTAAATTTAACTTTCTAGATTTTCATTTTCAAGTTTTTGTACTAAATAAAAACTGAAGCCATATGTTCAGAAGTGTTCCTGTATCTGAAAAATAAGCTTATGGCACTTCCCCATAAAACACATTTCTAAGTCCCAAGATGGAGTAATTAGAGAGATGTTTCTACATGGAGTTCTATAAATTGTCACACCTGTTTAGTTGAACAAAGAATGAAAATATGCAGACTTCAACAGAATTCAAGAACTCATTAAAAGACTTACACTTTACCAGCAGAAATTACTTAATATAGGAAAAACGTCAGTCATTTTTCAGGCAGTCATGAAGTGATTTTTAAATCACTGAAAATGACAAATTAGAAGTGGAAAATTATCACAATTATATAAGCAGTATTACTGCGATGTATAGAACATCTGCCCCCAGTGATAGCCAATTCAACATTCTACAAGGGAAGCCAATTGACGCATTCAATATTACAAGGCTAAAGGCAGTTATTACATTTTTTTCACTTTTAAAACAAAGAAAGCAATCATGTAATTTTCAGTTAGTATAAAAATTGAATACACTCTGAGTCAAAAATAAGCAGGTATCATATTTTCCATATGGCCATTTGTAGCAAATCATACATTTCATTTTTAAGAAATGATATATTTTTCAATCTTTTTTCTGTGTGTTAATAAAACATGGAGAGAAAGCTGTGATTCTTTTCGTTCTACACATGGCCATAAGAATGTCAGTACTCAAATATAACTCTGTGATTTCAGACTAAAAAATTGTGTCATACCTATTTTCAAATATGTCTGTCAGAAGAGAATGATAATACTTTGAACTTCTTTTAAGATTAAGAACATCCCCACATCTCATATTCTCCTGATTATCAAACATTTATTCAATACCTTATATGTGCTGTAAAATAGGGCTGTAAATTTGAATCGATCACAGGCTTTGCTGTCAAGAACTTTGCAAATCAGTAGGAGGAGTAAAGGAAGTGGATTTTTGCAGAAGTGAAGGAGAAGAAGAGAGACTTCATTCTAGAGAAGATATAATATATGAATGACAGCAGAGAAAATATGAATGTATATGGCTTGTTTATGACACAATCACTAAGACTAGTTGATTAGAGCAAACGACTGGTTAAGAAAATATTGAAAAATGCTTATAAAAGTAGATAGACATAAATTACATAAACACCTGAATGCCATAAAAAGGATACTGGATTTGGCTATATTCACAAAATGGTGGACATAAAATTGAATGAGAAGTTGTTATGCCAAACAATAACAAAAGTAGCAAAAGCTAAAATTAATTATATGCTTACCAAGTATTTTACATGAATTGGTTCATTTAGTCTTAAGAAAAACACATGAAAGATGCTACTCAATTCTCTTTCCCCTTAAATTCACCCTCTTGACAGTGCTCCATTTACTGGTTTCCTCATTTATATTAGTGAATTTCATTTTTAAACAATTACCAAATTATAGTGAAGTCAGGACCACTTTACAAGAAATTGATCTTTATGCCTAATTATACATAATTGATTTTAGTTAAATATCCCAAATTACTGTTTCTACTTGGAAGGGCCCTGTTTAGAATCACTGAAGAGTTGCTTGTTTCACTGAAAACACAGAAAAGTTCTTAAAATTAAAAAGAAAAAGAGAGAGAGAAAGCCACATTGACATTTGCTATTCTGTGTTGGTGGTGTCGCTTTTTTCAGATGAACTCTCTCACTGAAAACTACAAAAATTCTGTATAAAAACACACAGAAATCTGCACAAAGTCCTTTAAGAACGAACAAAACCAGGCAAAAATAGAATGCATGAGTAAACTCAGAAATTTATCCAACGAAATTATCTAATCTGTAGAATAGTGAGAGGACCACAAATGGTTGAACTAAAATGAATAGAGCCTCAGTGACCAGTAGGAGAATTCTTAATCTACCATACCATAAACTCAGAAATTTATCCAACGAAATTATCTAATCTGTAGAATAGTGAGAGGACCACAAATGGTTGAACTAAAATGAATAGAGCCTCAGTGACCAGTAGGAGAATTCTTAATCTACCATACGTGTAACTGTAGAAGGAAAGGAAGGAGACATTTTGGCAAATAACTCCTTGGCATATATTTGGCAAATATCAAAAGAGGCTGAATTAAAGTTCTGGTAGAATTTTTAAAATAAATTGACGAGTGGATTCTAAGATTTATATGTATATGCAAAGGATCTAGAATTGTCAGAACAATCTTAATAAAGACTAAGAAACTGGAAGATTTGTTTTATAGAACCTCAAATTTGATATAAATATACACTAACCAAGAAACACTAGCATTGGCTAAGGAAATAAAAATAGACCAATAGAATAGAACAGAGATTACAGAACTAGACATACACACATATATGTTTAATTTATTTATGATAAGATCTCAAGCAAATCTATGGGTAAAAGGAAGTTGCCACATGGTGCTGAACTGTATTTCCATATATTAAAAATTAAACCAACCTTCTATGAAATGCGAAAATTAACTGAGTGGATTATAAACCTAAACAGAGGACTAAAACTGTAAGTCTTCTAGAAGAACGCATTGGATAAATTCTTTGGGATTTTGGAACATGCAAATGTTTCATAAAGAAGGCACAAAACATACAAAATGTGTTTTAAAATGATAAGTTTATTTTATTAACATTGAAAACTTTTGCTCATCAAAGTACATGGAAAAAAATTTTAAAGTATGCTGGGTGTGGTGGCTCACACCTGTAATCCCAGCACTTGGGGAGGCCAAGGCAGGTGGATCAGGAGGTCAGGAGATGGAGACCATTCTGGCCAACATGGTGAAATCCTGTCTCTACTAAAAATACAAAAAAAAAAAAAAAATTGGCTGTGCATGGTGGCACGTGCCTGTAGTCCCAGCTACTTGGGAGGCTGAGGCAGGAGAATCGCTTGAACCCAGGAGGCACAGGTTGCAGTGAGCTGAGATCGCACCACTGCACTCCAGCCTGGTGACAGAGCAAAACTCCATCTCAAATAAGTAAAATTAATTAATTAATTAATTAAAAGGCAAATCAGAGACAGAGAAAAATATTTGTATTATATGCATACATGACAAGTGACCTCTATCCAGGACATATACAGTTTTTCTACATATCACTAATAAAAAGACAACTTAAAAATGGCAGAGTGAGTGAGCCATATTGGCTTTCAATGACTACAGGATATTACGGGCCTTATATAAATATACACAGATACTACCATATTATTAAATATTTCATTGACATTTTCATGAATAAACCAGAGAAGCAACATATTATATTGATTTTAGATCAAATCACTGGAGTCAAATAATTCCAAATTATACTTATATTTCTGCCATTTCCTCAAATGGTAAAATAGAGATGAGATTATCTATTTTATTTACTACTTTATGGACTTTCTGATAAGAAGAAAGGTGCATATTAAATAGTAGTTAAAAATAACCAAAGGACATTAAATTAGTATACCAAAGGGATAGCTGAACCCCCATATTTATTATAGCATTATTCATAATAGTCAATATATGGAATCAACCTAGATGTCCATCAAGAGATGCCTGGATAAAGAAAATGTGGTCTATATACACAATGGTATACTATTCGGTCATAAAAAGAATGGAATCCTGTCATTCCTGGCAACATGGATAAACCTGTAGGATATTATATTAAGCGAAATAGGTCAGGCACAGAAAGATAAATACTGCATGTTCTCACTCATATGGGAGAACTAAATAAAATTTGAGCTCATGGAAGTAGTGAGTAGAATTGTGAGTATTAGATGCTGGGAAGGGTAGGGAGAAGGAGGATAGGGACAGTTTGGTTACTGGATACAAAATTATAGCTAGATAGAAGGAATGGTTTATGGTGTTCTACAACATTGTAAGGTGAATGTGGTTAACCGTAATTTATTATATATTTTCAAAAAGCTAGAAGGGAGTATTCTGAATGTTCACAACACAAAGAAATGATAAATGCTTGAAGTGATGGATAAGTTAATTACTCTGATTTGATCCTTACATATTGTACAGATATATCAAAATATCACTCTGTATCTTATAAATATAATTATTAAGTGTCAACCAAAAAAAGCAAAAGGAAAAAATAAGTATTCTATACATTGAACAACAATAAAAAGACATTCAAATTGGCATATATGTATATCTGTTTAATAATTTTAGCTAAATTTATGCTTTATTAAGCATTCAGCTCTTTTCATTTTATAATCAATTTACACTCTCATTTCTCAATACAAGCAATAAAGTTTCATTAGCATCCTGAGATCTCATAATTATCAATAATTACTATTTATTAAGTATAGTATACACTACCTTGTTGGCAGACACAAACTATTTTGAGACAATTTTTTGTTTGTTGTTTGTTTTGTTTGTTTTGTTTTGAGACGGAGTCTCGCTCTGTTGCCCAGGCTGAAGTGCAGTGGCGCGATCTCGGCTCACTGCAAGCTCCGCCTCCCGGGTTCACGCCATTCTCCTGCCTCAGCCTCCTGAGTAGCTGGGACTACAGGTGCCCGCCACCACGCTCGGCTAATTTTTTGTATTTTTATTTTTTATTTTTTATTTTTTTAGGAGAGATGGGATTTCACTGTGTTAGCCAGGATGGTCTCGATCTCCTTACCTCATGATCCATCCGCCTCGGCCTCCCAAACTGCTGGGATTACAGGCGTGAGCCACTGCGCCCAGTCCAATTTTGAGACAATTTATAGTAGGGTGGAGAACACTTGGAAATAATGTTTTGCCAATAAATCTATGGAGGATTCATCACAATGGAAGAAATTAATTGGAAGATTCAGAGGAAGACTCAGTTCTTTATCTGGATGGAATACGGTAGCAAAGGAAATTTTTCATGTTAGTAATTGATACAGAGCCTTTGCTTTTAAATGTTGTGTTATTGTGGATTATGCTGTGTTTGGAAATAACAGTCACCATCAATGCTAATAATTATCATAGTGACTAGAGAAACAAGAAGAAAAAATGCTACAAAATAAAGTTTGACAATGTAAAACTAATAGCAACCTAGAATAAGCTTATATAAACACCTGCCTATTCAATGCCTTAAAAATTATTTACATTATTAAATGTGTTAAACATTTGCCATAAATTATCATTCCAAATTTTATAAATACTAAGCTTTAACATTGACTATACATGTGTGCTTATCAGCTCATGTGACTCCATTATTTTTTAAAATTCCACTTATGAGAGCAAGGACTAGTTCAATTCTCTGCATGGCAGGGGGTTAGAGATAGGGTTAAATTGACAGAGATTAATTTTCCAAACTCTATCAGAATTGAGTCTCAAAATAGGATTAAAGTTCAATTATTAAAAATGAAGAAAGTTATATCTGATTTAGCTCCTGCCTGCTTTTCTTTCCATGAGCAAAATTCTATTCTTCACAAATTCTACCCACTGGTGAGGATTACTCAAATGGAGAAATATGTACTTTACATTGGAAAATATTCTGTCTACCCTCTGATCTAAACTGCTAACTAAATGTCTTACACTATTCTCTACTAGTCAGATTGGATCTCTTGTTATCTGTCCAAAATGGTAGCTGAAGTTACCATCATTGAATGCCATTGCAAAACCTTTTTAACATCACTCATCTTGGATTCAAACATCCCAGCATCCTTACAAATAAACTTTCCTATCTTGAAACTAAATGTTTATGGTAGCTTTAATTTAGTGAAACTAAAAACAGTTTATTTTCTGACAATCACCTGTTTCTACATCAAATTCACACTTGAAAATGTGTCATTAACTAATAATGTATAGCATAATAATTTTAACATTTCCTGGCATTAATCAAAAATACACATTTAAAAATTTAGCAATAAATCTTATAGTTATAAAATTTGAATAAATCACTTTCTAATGGATGCATAAATCTTACATAACATTTCAAATTTGGGATTACAATTAAGAATACATTTTCATGTGGTTTTATATTATATTTTAATTCTTAATTTTACTTTTATAATGTTTGAAATTGAAGTTTGACCTTATGGCTAATGATTCTTATTTGTACTCTATTTCACAATATGTGAAATATCTGAAAAATCAAGAATTTGTTTTTCTAAGGGCTCTTAAGTTTTGAAATATGATTGGCATGCTCTACACCATATTTATTTGCAGCCTTAATGTAAATTTGCATTAAATGTCAGTTATTAAACTGCTTTAGGTATGACAATTATAATATTCCAAATGATATGAATTCCAAAATTCTGTTTGGAAGGAAATTCAAGAGCAATGAGAACTTGACATAATGGCTAATTTTATAATAATCACTGGTTGATACGGCATTAGGAATATTAATTTTCTATGGTTTTACTATGGCTCATTAGAACATAATATTGATTATGAATCCAGACTCATATTTCAAATAATATATATTAATATGCACAGTTGATCATGGTAGAAAAATGTACATATATTGGTTTCTGAAGAGTTTTGAAGAAACCCATAATAAAATATTAGAAAATATGTATCAAATAAAGAGATAGATGGTGTATTAGTTCATTTTCATGCTGCTGATTAAGACATACCTGAGAATGGGCAATTTGCAAAAGAAAGAAGTTTAACGGACCTACAGTTCCACGTGGCTGGGGAAGCCTCACAATCCTGGTGGAAGGCAAGGAGGAGCAAGTCACATCTTACATGGATGGCAGCAAGCAAAGACAGAGAGCTTGTGCAGAGGAACTCCTTTTTTTAAAACCATCGGCTCTCGTGAGACTTATTCACTATCATGAGAACAGCATGGGAAAGATGTGCCCCCATGATTCAATTACTTCCTACCGGCTCCCTCCCACAACACGTGGGAATTCAAGATGAGATTTGGGTGGGGACACAGTCAAGCCATATCCGATGGATAGATATAGACATATTTTATACATCTTTTAAATGTGATGCTTCCTGTACACATTTGGCACAGGCTGTACATCTCAAAATATTTCAAAAAAAAAAAACCCTATTATAGTTACCAAACCTTTATAGGGTAATCATTCTAGTTTGCTCAAGATAGCACCAGTTTATGCTCATGGGGTAGAAGACAGAATATTGCTGAAGTATCTCAGTTCTCTCCAAATATTAAAATGCCATTTGTCCTGGATGTTTTAACCAAGTACTATTATTTATGGTTGCACTAAAACAAATAGGGATGAGTTTGATAAATCACCACTTGGTATTTTATATTCTGCCATCATCTTTTCCAGAAGTGTGAGATATAGAGTTATACATAAGCAGAAAATTATTTTTAACATGAGGATAATATGGTAATATAACCAGTAATAACACACCTCTCTTTTTCAATGCTTTCCAGATGCAGATTTTATTGTATCAATCATTCAAAGACAGCTTGTTGGACTTTGAAGACCCAAGCAGACAAAAGTAGGTAATTCCTCCTTATTTCAGTTGGTATGCAGAGAAGCTACTAATAATGCTACTCTTCCAGCACAATGTTTCCAGGCTGCCAGTGAGCTTGGTCAGTAGGAACGACAGGAAATTATGAGTTATGTCTATGTTATATGTGAGAGGAAAATTGAGGCTACTAGTTTTGTCATAGGGTTTATAGATATTTGTCTGTATGTTCTTGCTATAGAGGTTTGGTCAATTATTGTGTGGTACAAAACAGTGGTCAGTAAACTATAGCTGTGAGCTGAATAAGGCCTTCCACCTATTTTTGTAAACAAAGTTTTATTGATATAGTGAAATCCACACATTTATGTTTGTCTATGGCTGCTTTCATGCTGCAATAGCAGAGTTGAATCATTGTGATAGAGACCATATGGATCAAGAAGTCTAAAATATTTACTATCTAACTCTTTACAGAAAAATTTGCCAGCCCTTGGTATAAATCTACAACTATTTACATATTTTACTATGCACTGATGAACATTTCTTATTCTACAATAAATACTTACTTTTTAATAAAACTATGTTTCAAATTTGTTTCCCTAGAAAATCAATGATGAATATGTAGTTGCCCCTAAACTGTGCCACTATTAATGATCCACTGTAGGATATTAGTGACATTACTGACTGTATACAAACCAGAATGCATACATTAATTGAGCAATCATCAGCATCTACTTTTAAAAATGTTAGTAAATATTTTAGAAGACTGTCTTCTGATGATGAGCTAGGTGCATAAGCAGAAGGTCTTCTTACATATCACTCTGTGAAGCACGTCTTTTCATTTAGATCAAATGACTGTCCCAAAATTATTTTTCTCATTTTTTATTGCAAGTTCCTCTGTGCATACAAAAAGTAAAGTGATAGTTGTCAAAGTGTCAGCTCAGCTAGTAGACAACTTCACTTACAGTTAAAAAATGCCAGCTTTGGCTGTGCGTGGTGGCTCACTCCTGTAATTCCAGCACTTTGGGAGGCCAAGGCAAGTGGATCGCTGGAGGACAAAAGTTTGGGACCAGCCTGGCCAACATGGCGAAATCCCGTCACTACTAAAAATACAAAACTTAGCCGGCTGTGGTGGCATGCACCTATAATTCAAGCTACTTGGGAGCGTAAGACAGGCAACTCACTGGAGCTTTGGAGGCGGAGGTTGCAGTGAGCCGAGATTCACCACTGCACTCCAACCTGGGTGAAACAGTGAGACTGCCTCAAACAAAAAAAAAAATGTGAGCCATATTAATAAAAGCAGAAACTTCAAACTGATAATCAGTTAATTCCAACAATGGTTTTCTTTTTCCCTCCAATTCATTAAATTAAAATAAAGTTTTGCAAGTTTATTCTGTCAAAGGCAGGACATCTGACAATATTGGTAGTGCCATTGGGAATTTGTGAATTTAGCAAACAATATTCAAAAATAAAGTTATTGGTTCCTGTGGTGAAATTTTAAATACACATTTTGTTAAGTATGTGGCATAATACATTGTTTTGATCAAATATAGAAAAATGTGGAGCAGAAAATATAGGAAATGTATTGTGGTTCACACATAGTTCATATTTTGTTTCAAATCAGTCATGATATTCACACAACTAAAATAAAAACTGTAGTTGCAAAATTCACAAATAATTTTAAATACTTATAGAGTAATGGAACTAATTTGTTGTGACAAAACTATTATTGAAAAAATTGTAACATGGCATAATGTGCTTTTTTTCTTGCTTCTTTTCATCAACATTCAAAGTTTAGAAATGTTTAAGTCTCTAAAGAATGACTTTGAAAATGAATCTAAGGGTGCAGGGAAGCTTTGACATTTTGGTAACAGAATGCTCTAGCTGCATCTTGCTCAAAATCAGTTTCAAAAATTTGATTAAACAGCTAAAAAAATTTAAGTACCAAAGAAATCAGTTTTTGAACATTACAGTAAGTTGCATTTTTTAGATAAAGCATTGAAGTTTATTCCTCCATGATTCAAGAAAGACACTTAGCAAATTTAATAAGACTTCAAAAGTATCTAAGATTTTAAATATTATAACAGTGCTTTGGAATAGCTGGGCTTGTGGGAAGCATTTGAGGGGGCTCCTAAATTTCAAGGATAAACTTACATACTAGAGCATAATGGAAATAAATTGAGAGAGTCAACAACTTTGCAGTATCTAAATTTAGCCAAACGTTCTAAAGAATAATAAATAGAAATCATTTACTTCATGAATATCTTGGAAAATGTTATCTAACAAACTGATTTTGAATAAGTAAAATATAGAACTCCTACAAAAATATTTTATCCTTGAAGAGGTCCTTCACATCCCTTGTAAGTTCTTTCCTAGGTATTTTATTCTCTTTGTAGCAATTGTGAATGGGAGTTCACTCATGATTTGGCTCTCTGTTTGTCTGTTATTGGTATATAGGAATGCTTGTGATTTTTCAACAATGATTTTGTATCCTGAGACTTTGCTGAAGTTCCTTATCAGCTTAAGGAGATTTTGGGCTCAGACAATGGGGTTTTCTAGATATACAATCATGTCATCTGCAAAAATAGACAATTTGACTTCCTCTCTTCCTATTTGAAAACCTTTATTTCCTTCTCTTGCCTGATTGCCCTGGCCAGAACTTCCAACACTATGTTGAATACGAGTGGTGAGAGAGGACATCCTTGTCTTCTGCCAGTTTTCAAAGGGAATGCTTCCAGTTTTTGCCCATTCAGTATGATACCGGCTGTGGGTTTGTCATAAATAGCTCTTATTATGTTGACATACATTCCATCGATACCTAGTTTATTGAGAGTTTTTAGCATGAAAGGCTGTTGAATTTTGTCGAAGGCCTTTTCTGCATCTATTGAGATAATCATGTGCTTTTTGTTGTTGGTTCTGTTTATGCAATGGATGACATTTGTTGATTTGCGTATGTTTAACTGGCATTGCATCTCAGGTATGAAGCCGACTTGATCTTGGTAGACAAGCTTTCTGATGTGCTGCTGGATTCTCCTTGCCAGTATTTTACTGAGGATTTTTGCGTCAATGTTCATCAGGGATATTGACCTAAAATTCTATTTTTTTGTTTTGTCTCTGCCAGGCTTTGGTATCAGGATGATGCTGGCCTCATAAAATGAGTTAGGGAGGATTCTCTCTTTTTCTATTGATCGGAATAGTTTCAGAAGGAATGGTACCAGCTCATTTTTGTACTTATGGTAGAATTTGGCTGTGAATCCATCGGGACCTGGACTTTTTTTGGCTGGTAGGCTATTAATTATTGCCTCAATTTCAGAACCTGTTACTGGTCTATTCAGAGATTCAAATTCTTCCTGGTTTAGTCTTGGGAGGGTGTATGTGTCCAGGAATTTATCCATTTCTTCTATATTTTCTAGTTTATTTGCATAGAGGTGTTTATACTATTCTCTGATGGTAGTTTGTATTTCTGTGAGATCGATGGTGATATCCCCTTTATCATTTTTTATTTCATCTATTTAATTCTTCTCTCTTTTCTTCTTTAGTAGTCTGGCTAGTGGTATATCTATTTTGTTGATCTTTTCAAAAAACCAGCTCCTGGATTCATTGATTTTTTCAAAGTTTTTTATGTCTCTATCTCCTTCAGTTCTGCTCTGATCTTAGTTATTTCTTGTCTTCTGCTAGCTTTTGAATGTGTTTGCTCTTGCTTCTCTAGTTCTTTTAATTGTGATGTTAGGATGTCGATTTTAGATCTCTCCTCCTTTCTCTTGTGGGCATTTAGGGCTATAAATTTCCCTCTACACACTGCTTTCAATGTGTCCCAGAGATTCTGGTACGTTGTGTCTTTGTTCTCATTGGTTTCAAAAAACATCTTTATTTCTGCCTTCATTTTGTGAAGGACGTCTTCAAGGAAAACTATAAACCACTGCTCAAGGAAATAAGAGAGGACACAAACAAATGGAAAAACATTCCATGTTCATGGATAGGAAGAATCAATATCTTGAAAATGGCCTTACTGTCCAAAGTAATTTATAGATTAAATGTTATCCCCATCAAGCTACCACTGACTTTCTTCACAGAATTGGAAAAATCTACTATAAACTTCATATGGAACCAAAAAAGAGCCCACATAGCCAAGACAATCCTGGGCAAGAAGAACAAAGCTGGAGGTATCATGCTACCTAACTTCAAATTTTACTACAAGGCTACAGTAACCAAAACAGCATGGTACTGGTACCAAAACAGATATATAGACCAATGGAACAGAATGGAGACCTCAGAAATAACACCACACATCTACCATCATCTGGTCTTCAACAAACCTGACACACACAAGCAATGGGGAAAAGATTCTCTATTTAAGAAATGGTGTTGGGAAAACTGGCTAGCCATATGCTGAAAACTAAAACTGGACCCCTTCCTTACTCCTTATACAAAAATCAACTCAAGATGGATCAAAGACTTAAACATAAGACCTGGAATCATAAAAATCCTAGAGGAAAACCTGGGGAATACCATTCAGGACATAGGCATGGGCAAAGACTTCATGTCTGAAACACCAAAAGCAATGGCAACAAAAGCCAAAATTGACAAATGGGATCTAACTAAACTAAAGAGCTTCCACACAGCAAAAGAAATTGTCATCAGAGTGAACAGGCAACCTACAGAATGGGAGAAAAATTTTGCAATCTATCCATCTGACAAAGGGTTAATAACCAGAATCTACAAAGAACTTACAAATTTACAAGAAGAAAGCAAGCAACCCCATCAAAAAATGGGCGAAGGATATGAACAGACACTTTGCAAAAGAATATCTTTATGCAGCCAACAGATATGTGAAAAAATGCTCATCATCACTGGTCATTAGAGAAATGCAAATCAAAGCCACAATGAGATACCATCTTATGCCATTTAGAATGGTGATCATTAAAAAGTCAGGAAACAACAGATGCTAGAGAGGTTGTGGAAAAATAGGAATGCTTTTACACTGTTGGTGGGAGTGTAAATTAGTCCAACCATTGTGGAAGACAGTATGGTGATTCCTCAAGGATCTAGAACTAGAAATACCATTTGACCCAGCAATCCCATTGCTGGGCATATACCCAAAGGATTATAATCATTCTACGATAAAGACACATGCACACATATGTTTACTGCAGCACAATTCACAATAGCAAAGACTTGGAACTAACCCAAATGTCCATCAATGATAGACTGGATAAAGAAAATGTGGCACATATACACCATGGAATGCTATGCAGCCATAAAAAAAAAGGATGATTTCATGTCCTTTGTAGGGACATGGATGAAGCTGGAAACCATCATTCTCAGCAAACTATCGCAAGATCAGTAAACCAAACGCTGGAAGTTCTCAGTCATAAATGGGGGTTCAACAATGAGAACACATGGACACAGGAAGGGGAACATTACACATTGGGGCCTGTTGGGGGTTGGCGGCTAGAGGAGGCATAGCATTAGGAGAAATACCTAATATAGGTGACGGGTTGATGGGTGAGCAAACCACCATGGCACATGGCATACCTATGTAACAAAATTGCCCATCCTTCACATGTAACCCAGAACTTAAAGTGTAATTTAAAAATATATATTTCATCTGCATATTTTATATCAAAAAAAGATGTAATAATATCTTCCTTTAGCAGACTTTTTTTAAAGAAATTAACAGAAACCTCAACATGTGTTCAGTGAAAATGTCCATAATTTAAAATGTAATGGTTAAGAAGTGTCAAATAAACACATGAACAATTTCAAATTCATTGGTCATAAATGCAAGTCTGAAGAAAGATGTAAGTAATTTTATGGTGAAAAGCATGTGAACTGTTGTTCAGACTCTTCTTATGCTATAAAACATTTAGCAGTAATATGATTTAATTGTATTAACCAAATTGATTTATTAAACTTTACCATAAAAGAGTTCAGTATATATACCTTCTGAAATTGTATTTTTCAATAATAAAGGAAATATTTCACATTTAATTTGAAATACATAGATAAAATTAAAGTTACTTGTGTATATGGTTGTATACATATGCATTTTTTACCTGAAAATTGCTCATCACATTCACAAATGAAACTATTTGAAGTAATATTGCTGCAGTTTCCATGGAAACAGACATGTGGTTGACACTGGCCAATTATTTCTGAGCAATTCTTTCCTATAACAATGAAAAAAAGTTTTTTTTACATTGGATATCAATATTATAACCATCAGTTTTCCCTCAATTCTTTAATAATGAAAATATCAAATTCTGACTAATGTAATTTCAGTTATGAAACCATGTTATACGATGATGCATTTAAATTGAAATAAAAATTAATTTTGATACTTTACATAAGTTTTTCATCTTCTGACCCCAGACTATAATATCCAAATATTTTTTCTGGCTTGTAGTATTTGAGCTTTATTTAATTTACATAATATTTTAAAATTTTAATTGTATTTTCATGATAGATAATATTCATATATTTAAGTACCAGTTTTTCAACATACATTGATAGTATTGCAGTGATAATTTACAAAATGACACATTCAAATGTGTACTGTTTCTCAGACTTACCCCCTAGCCAAGGGAACAATTCAAAAGCAGAAATGGCTGCCTGGATTCTCAGAATATGTGCACAAACTTCCAAATTCAACACTTCTTTGCACTTGCTGGCATATCAAATTTTCCAAATCTCACTTACACATACTATTGTGGTCCCACTATATCAGTTATATACACACACACACACACACACACACACACACACACACAGCCTTCCATAACATACTCATTCTATGCATATTTAATCATCTTATAATACCTTAGTAGAGGAATGTGCCTTGAAAATCCCAGGGCATAGCAAGTGGACAAATGCTGTTACAAACCAACTGCATGTAATTTGGCAATATGTTTTTTTCCCCAGTTTAATTAAGCTCTTAATTTAATTTATGAGCAGTTTTTGCCATTATCATTGATGTCTTTCAAATTCCTTATATACTGACATCCCTGCCTCACTAATGCAGAACTTTTTTCTTCATTTGCCTCCAAGCAACCCTAAATGTAATGAAAATATAAATAATGAAAATATAAATAAAAATCATTGTGTTTCAAAAGGTTCTCCAAACATAAAAATTAAATTAACAGTATAATGCCAATAGGCCACACCCTAATTAAAACTTAGTGAGTTTTATGAGCTAAATTGTGCCCACCCACCGCCGCCAAATTCATATGTTGAAGTCCTATCCCTCAGCATCACAGAGTATCTATATTTGGAGATAATATCTTTAGAGAAGTACGCAATTAAGGTTAAATAAGGTCAGTAGGGTGCGTCCTAATCCAATGTGACTGGTGTGCTTTCAAGAGGAGAACATTTACACACAGATACATACAGAGAAATGACAATGTAAAGACACAGGGAGAAGACAGCAGTCTATGGACCAAGCAAATAGATCTCAGAAGAAACCATATCTGCCAATCTTTGACTTTTGGCATCTAAAACTGTGAGAAAATAAGTTTCTGTTTAAGCCATCCAGTCTATGGTACTTTGTTATGACAGCTCTAGCAAATTAATGCAGTAAGCATTCTCAATTGTTTTGACAATTCTACATATTTCATTATCTTCTTCGATTTTTAAAATTGAAGTAATTATTTATAATTAAAGTGGCAAATGGAGTATTCTTAATGTTATAAAAATAAGTAAGCATTATTTAGGTATTTTATAGTGCTCAAAGCTTAACGATTTAAAGCACCTATGGCTGTAAGAAAGAGAAAGAGAGAGAAAGAAAGAAGAAAGAAAGAAACAAACAAACAAAGAGAAAGAAAGAAAGAGAGAAAGGAAGGAAGGAAGCAAAGAAGGAAAGAAGGAAGGAAGGAAGGAAGGAAATTGAGTAGGAAGCAAACCATTCTATGCAGTTATAATAAAACCACTAAAATAATATCCCATAAACTATGAATGCATACACGCAAATTAATATTCTGACACATGGTAGAAATTTTCTGGCCAAATGTTCTTTAAAACTCTTTGGACAGGTGAAAATGGATGCTTTAAAGACTGTCTATTAAATTGCTTTATCATTCACTCCAAATCAGCAGTTTGAGTGTTTTCACATTTCCTCTAGTCTGCCTTAACTTTAATCACCTGATATACCCCAGCGGAAAGAAGAGGTATAACTTGCACCTTCTATCACCAATGCCAACACAGTCAAATGAGAATTTGATCCACGTTATAGAGACAATATATTCAGTGGCTATTATTGGTATTAACTTCTATAATAATCTTGGTACTAAGCTATCAAGTTCAAAATGACTATTTGAAAGATTGGATGAGGTGAATTTTACAGCCTACAATGGCTTATTGAGGTCTTCTATTACATCTTTTTATTTTATCTTATTTTATTTTTTGAGACAGTCTCCCTTCATCGCCCAGGCTGGAGTGCAATGGCGCGATCTCAGCTCACTACAAACTCTACCTCCTGGTTCAAGGGATTCTTCCGCCTCAGCCTCCCGAGTAGCTGGGATTACAGGCACCCGCCATTATGCCCAGCTAATTTTTGTATTTTTGTAGAGACGGGGTTTCACCATGTTGGCCAGGCTGGTCTTGAACTCCTTACCTCAGGTGATCCGCCTGCCTCGGCCTCCCAAAGTGCTGGGATTATAGGCATGAGCCGCCTCCAAGTCGGCTCCCATTACATGTTATCACACAGCCTCTTTAAACTTGGCTCCAATGGAGTCAGCCTCAGGCACAGGGGAGAAGGAATCCCCCTAAAGCCTGCCTAACAAAATTACAGTTAAATCCCTGCAGGTGATCTGCTCTAGATATAGCTCTGCTTTAACCTTCCTTCCTCTTTTATGACCAAAATACATACCAATCTGCTGTTTTCGTATACTATTATTATCAGCTGTGTCAAATATTTCTCTTTGTTAGATCATCGTGGTCTTATTTCACTTGTAACTCTCCATGCCAGGTCTGTCAAACCCTCAAATAAATTCTTCCACAAGTTTCCAAGCTTTAAATGTTCCCTACATTTTTTCAGTCTTTCTCCTCACTTTCCTCCGATGACCCCAGAATCCTCTAGTATATTCTCAAGTAGAGAGAGTTTTATTCCCTTCAAACTTCACGTTAGCCTCAGGCAGCATCATTTACATTTTTTTTTAGATTGCCTTTCCTCTGGCTTAATTACTCACCAAACATCTTTTTACAACCTTTTCTGATTATTGCCTTTTATTGAGCTTATTACAACCGTTATTAATTATAACATCTTCTTTCCATCCTTGTCACTATCAGTTATAAATCACCATTTGGATGCCACACCAACATCCATTTAAAACATTGCTCTTGGCTCACAATTATCTGTTCCTCTCCAATCCTGCCAAGCAGCTTCAATCACTTCCCTTCAACCATAGTTCCCTAACTTCCTCTACTGAGATGCATAATTTATTTTCAAGTTATCACCTATCTAAATACCATAATCTTGGGAATTCATTCAGTGACTAAAAGCTTTTATATTATTCTGATAATCTTATGTTTTAATGTATGAGACGTTAAGAATGGATGTTGGGAAAGATGTAAATATAGATATTTCACTATTAAACATGTTTCTAAGAGCCCTCCTTCAGTTAAGCAAAAAGCTTATTTTGGAGGATCCCTGATAGGATTTGTATATGTCCAGAATCTATATCCAGCCAAATCCAAGGAATCTATTAAATTTTTTATTTATTTTTATTTATTTATTTTATTTTATTTTTATTTTTATCTTTTTTGAGACGGAGTCTCGCTCTTTTGCCCAGGCCGGACTGCAGTGGCGCTATGTCGGCTCACTGCAAGCTCCACCTCCCGGGTTCACCCCATTCTCCTGCCTCAGCCTCCGGAGTAGCTGGGACTACAGGCGCCCTCCACCATGCTCGGCTAATTTTTTTTTTGTATTTTTAGTAGAGACGGGGTTTCACCGTGTTAGCCAGGATGGTCTCGCTCTCCTGACCTCGTGATCCACCCACCTCGGCCTCCCAAAGTGCTGGGATTACAGGTGTGAGCCACCGCATTTAAAATGTACTTTGATTTCTGTTAACAGTTTATAAATGCACTGTGTTTCTCTATTTTAATAAAATTATATATTTTAAACAATCTTACCTGTAAATGGTGGGTGACAGACACATTCATATGCTTGCTCATCCCAATTTTCTCTTTTATTAATGCAACTGCCATTATTTTTACATGGTTTAAAAGAACATGCATCAAGTTCCTGGCAGTATTTTCCAGAAAATGGAGGCTGGCAATGGCAGCTATATGTCTTGCTCCAAGCTTCACTAAGACATTTACCATGACCAGAGCAAAATTCTGAACTCAGAGATTCCTGGCAGAACTGCTGTTTCACTGTCACATTTAGTCGAAGTCCCAGTGGACAAGGTGATGGACCACTTGCCATAACTGTGATAAAATAATGTGTCCCAACACTCAGCCACTTAGAATTAACAGTGTGCATTCCTTTTAGTCTGCAGCCAAAAAGTAACTGATCTTCCGTTGTGGTATTTTGCACACAGCCAACGAAAGATGTTTCAGAAACATTCATCAAATTTATTTCTGGAAATTGAAGAGATGGTTCAGAAGAAATTACAAGGATATCTCCTAATTGAATTTGCAAAGGGCAAATCTGGGGAACAGCTTGATTGCCTGAAGTATCTATTTTAGTGTTTACACCCAAAAACCAGCAATCTCTGTAGAAGTCCAAGCAGATGTTTTCTGTTAGTGTCCAATTTACCACATATGATGAGGGTTGTGGATGCCATTCTTCCACCAATTGCCGTCTACATGTTTTTCCATTTATGAAAGAGCTGTGAAAAACCATCAGGCTCAGAATGACGATTGATTTGTCAGTCATTTTCGGGTAGCTGTATTTTACAGTTTATCATAAAGAATTGCTGCAAAATGGTGTTTTAAGTATTACCGGAAATTTCCAAGTAAAGTTGTGGTTAAGGATTCCTGGGAATTGGAATTGACCTTTTTTCTATACCCAAAGTAGCTTTGATGACAATGTGCTTTGATGGAGAAACAGGAATTCAAATGTTGTAAATATTCCTTTAAACAGAAAAAAACATATATTGTTAGTGAAGTTTTCCCTAAATTAATAATATAGAAAATGCTAGCTCTTTTTGTGGATTTCATAAGAGCCTACACTGCAAAGATAGTGTCACCAGCAGCTGGGGACCTTCTTTGGGAAAGAAGGCCAAGAAAAACATGATCAAGATATGTTGATCTGGTCAAGCTTTATATAGTCACCTGATTCTGAAAAGTTCTGGTTTCATGACATAATTAAGCCAGCAACTTACTGCGGTCTTTTGTGTTTTCTCTTTACACCAAGCTTCAATCTAATCAAAACACAGCACAGCCAAGATTCTTTTACAGATGGTTTCAATTTTCTTGGGAGATAAGCATTCCTCTTCTGATTAGTTTTCAAAAAACACCTTTAAAACGTAGAAGAGTAAACACCATTTAAACATATTTTTCATGTAATATTTTATATAAAAATAAGCCTTAAAATAACTCATAGTGATAATCATGTTCCTTTTATGATAATCCAGAGGATGGGAACTCCCATATATATGAAAATTCTGTTGTGCAAATGACTAACCTAGAATGAGTCTTCTGTAGGAATGGTGGAAGGTGCCAGATAAAGAGGGAAAAGAAAGTCAAAAAGCAGTAATGAAAAGATTATAAATATAAGTAAATAAAGTAAAAATAAATATAAGTTAAATGGTAGTAACTGAAAGGAGGGGTCAGCCCATCAATTCTGTTGTTCCAGAGGGCAAGAAAACATAAAGGATTTCTGAGTTTAATATATTGACCTATTTTTTTTTAAAAGGTAACTACCAATTATTGAAGGTTTTCTCTGTACAAATCACTCTACTACTTGATTAACAAATAAACTGCAATCCTCACAATTAAACTCAAATTTTGAGAGGAAAGGTAAATGATGTTAGTGAAAAAAACGTGTTCTTTGGATCTCAGTTATGTTATTCATTTGTTTAATGTCCTTAGGCAACCTGAGATTTAATTCTCTCCACTTTCAAATAGGTACACCAGGGAGAAGTACACCTAATTAACAAGGTAGTATTGAAGATGGAATGACTACGTAAACATATATGAGTCACTCAATAAATAGTAGCTTTTATTTTTGTTATTGTACAATTTCATCCAGCAGGTAAGTGGTATATGTTGGATTAAAATTCAGGTTTGTCAGATTCAAAATATCGGCATTTTCTACTGTACTATAAAGATCAATTAAATGTTGTTAAAATACATTATGGTATGCCATTATATAATTTATTTGTTAATTCATATCAAATCTTTATGGTAAGTCTAACATTTTAATGGGTATTTTAGATCAGGCAGAAATCAAATTTGAATTATAAATTACCTCTTTGCAATTTCAGTTCTACATATTATAAATCTATGAAATATAAATTCATGTGACAAATAACACAAATATGCATATAGAAAGATAAAATACAACTTCTACATAATTCAATGTTCTACATAATCATGTCAATTTCAAATATATTAATCACCTTGTTAATTTTATAGATTTAAATTATCAATCTTGCTAAAGGTTTAAAAAATAATTCAAACAAGTAAATTTGAGCTCAATCTATGTGCAAGGCAATATGCTCAGTACCAGGATTCATCAATAATCAGTTGGAATAGGGTATCAATGGAAGGAATTAAGAACTCAATGAAGGAGACAGATCATTAGACAAGGAACATCATCAAATTGCTATCAACAAAATAGTCTAACAGTCTGAGACATGTAGCAAGGACATTTAGTCCAATCCAGGAAACAAAATCTAAGCTAAAATGATAAAACGGAATCACCTGGGAAAATTGCCAAAGGAAAAATGTTCCAGGAGAGAGCATCTACATCTAAAGATTTTGAGGTGAATGTGACACTGGATGCCTTTAAGGAAGTAAGAGAAGTGGAGCTTTCTCATCAAAGAGGGAAAAGGAATTACAATTAAAGATAAGCACTCCATTTAGGAAGAGATTATATCAAGAAGGAGCAGCCATTCTCAGTAAAGGAGCTCATATTTTATTCGAGAGCAATGAAGAGCCTCTTGAAGATTTCACATGGATGATTAACAAAATAAATAAATAAATAAATCCTCACTTAACTTTGTCCATAGGTTCTTGGAAACTGCGACTTCAAGCAAAACAACATATGACAAAATCAATTTTGTTCTCTCTTCAATGTTTTAATGAAAAGACAGAGAAGGAAAAGATGTTGAGGACCAACATGTTGTGTCGTTTTGCTTAAAGTCACAATTTTGAAGAACCTGTCAACTACATTGAGAACTCACTATAATTTAATAGCATTAGTCTAGTTTCAAGGTGAGGAACATATTGGTGAGTGCAATTAAAAGAATTGAGACACTTGTGGAGGAGAAAACAACACTAATGTAGTGAAACAATAATGAAGACTAATTAGTACAGAGGCAATACAAATATAACACTCGTGAAGTCCATAAATATTGAAATGGTAGAATTACTACATCTCCAAGGCTGTTGGCCTAAAGAAAGAGAAGAAAATCCAGGAAGACCAGTTGGAGCAGTAAGACGGCAAGGAAGAGGGGAGAAGTCTGATTCACTTGTGCATACGCTCAGTTTAAGGTCTATCTGAGTGATTTTCTAGCACAAGTGTTCAGAAATCACAAGAGAGAAAGTGAGGTTTTAGAGAAAGATATGAATCACTAGGCAATATTGAAATACTTTTGTACCTGTAAATCACAAATTTACAGTAGTAGCAACCTGCACAGGTGTATTATTTTCCCAGCAGCTTAGTTGAAAAGGATACACTAAAGATTAAATAGCAAATGAGTTAAACACAGTCACAAATTTATTTCCACATGTAAATGCGAGGAAACAAATTACATTTGCATTGAAGCAAAATTAGGCCTATGTGACATTTTTAGACTGACTGCAGATGTGAGCCCACATTATTGTGGGGCTAATCCCATGGTTCTTAGAGCACGCTGGGTCTCTAATTATTGTGCATTTATGTTTTCAAAGAGAAAGTGGCTTGATGCATTGCATTTCCACCTTGTGAAAATTTAAATAAATGAAAATAGCAGCAAAGGAAAAAAAACACTAACACAAAAACATCTATTAAGTCAATGTATATCTATACATGCTGAATACAAAATGCTTTGGATTTTATTGGGAACTAGAGTAATATAAACATTATAAATTTGAAAAAGGTGATGTAATTTTGACCCCAAAGGTATGATGTTATGTGTCTCAGTTTTTCATTTATAAAGACATTCTTCAAACCCTGTCAAAATAGCAAGCCAAATGGCATTCTCCTCAATTCTAAACACACATATTGATTAAAATCAGGAAGTAATTTTATCCCAGGTGATATTACTATTAATATCTTATAAATTCTTGGGCCAAGAAGTCCAGAAACCCAGAACTACGATGGAGCCATTGACAGCATTTCACATAATTACAACCATAACATCACTTGACAGGTTACGTTACCAGAAAAATATTCACAGGAAAATATGTGTAATTTCAGAACTGTATGAACTGTATCACTTTTATAGTAGCTTTGTAGTTAGGTTATTCTAACAAATAAAGTCCAACTTAAATTCAGTAGTTAAGAAAACATGAACAATATTTCTTCTTTCACAAACAGCTGTCATCTTAAATTACATCTTTTAAAAAAACAAGGTAATAAGTTTAAACAAATAAGTTTTATATAAGCCAAAAAATAATTTGAATAGAACATGCTCATTATAATAGTTGGCATATAATAGGCATTCAATTAAAGATAGTTGAGTAGAGATTGGAGATGATGGATGTAATTTATTTCTATTTGCACTCAATAGACAATATTATGAACTGTGGAAGCCTTTAATAAGCTTGTAGTTGATTCTACATACCTGATATTTTTCATGTTTCACTTCTTTAAGAAGTATGACCTCCACAATAAGCAGCTTTTTATTTGTATAAATTATACATTGTACTTTCAAAACATATACAAAGAGGAAAATTAGAAATAGAAGAGATAAAATTAACAGATACAAAAGTTCTCATAATTTATGCCTGTGCTCTAGAAAGTAAGCAACAAATTTTACCTACCACAGATTGGACTAAAATTATAGGAGTGAAAATGTGTGTTTCAGAAATGCTACCAGCAGTGTGAATGATGAACATTTTAGCAAGGATACTAGAAAAGGGAAAAAAATGGTAAATTTTAAAATAAAACTGAGAGTACTAGAGAAGAGACAGCAGATTTATTCATATTTTTTAAGGGAGTAGTGACTGACTTTATCGATTATGCTCCTACTATTGGGAGACACCGGTCCTTCTTTAGTACACTGTCTTGATTATGACAATGATCCTGTGAGGTACATAGTCATGGCCCCATTTTAAAAATGAGAAAACTTAAGTCACCATAGTGTCCAAAGAAATAAGAATAAAAAGAGTAAAAAATAAAAAATAAAATGAGAAAACTGAAGCACAGAAAGATTAAGGACTTGCCCAAGCTCACACAATCAATAAGCAGTGGTGCATGTATTGACCTGACTCCAAAACACATGTTCTCAGTCACATTTACCATCTCATACACAAATGCACACACCCAGTTAGGCTTCTGAGGCAAAGGAGGCAGGTAATTTAGGAGAAAGAATATTCACAACATGATTGCCAATAAGGCATAGGATTAAACAAAGCGGCTGAGGCAAAAGATGATAAACAATCCTGGAGAACAATAATATTCAAGAGACAAGTGAAAGAAGGTATCTCAAATTATCCTTGCATTTTGTTAAGAAAAACAAAGAAAAGGGTTTTCAGAATTTTTAGAGTTGGCACTTTTATAAATTATGAAGTGAGTTTTCTATATTTCATTATCATAATGGTGGTAAACTCAGTAACTGGTCAGTTGATGCTATAAGCGCAGGTAGATTTGAGTGGTATGGTGGGATTATGGGAGAGAAAAATCAAATTCAAAAAATCTTTGAAAAAATTGTCTATGGAAGAAGAGTAATTAAGTAAACAAGTTGCCAAAATAGAGTTAAAATCTCATTTACTACATCAACTTCTTCATAAAGCTGTGTTTAAACTCAGATCTCTAGCTTGAGCACCACTCTACAAGTGCCTTCACATTATAGTATCCTTTTTGAAGAAGAAATAATAGGCAGAAATGTACCTTCATTCAATTCCCTCTTATTTCTCTCTCCCAGGTTTATATAATCCTAAAGTAAATAAACGGTCAGGAATGAAGTGATTGTAGGGAATGTGCAAGGGTCAGTGATGTCAGGAGGTAGAAAGAGCCACAAGACTGTCACAGATGAGCTGAAGAATGAAGTGCATTGTGGATTACGCTTGGGGGTGGGGGAAAGTCAGAACTTTTTGTTTTGCTCATCACTCAGCTACTTACAAATGTATAATTTTATAATGCTTTTTAACATGCTTAAATGTTTAGGGATTAAATTTAATATGTCAGTATTTTAAAAATATTTTCCTTTTTAATCCACACACTCTATGAGTAGGCCTCAGAAATTTTAAATAGCTGTATTAAAGAGTACTTATTAGAAACAGTTTGTCTTCTGTGAAGTGAAATCGGTTTTCTGTAAGTAATCTAGAATGGAAAATAATTGACAATAGTATCACTATATCTGTGAATGTCCATGTATACATGTGCGTTTGTCTGTGTGTGGGAGAAGGGAGGTGTATGCAGCCTTCATCTCAATTTGAGTCATCACAGCATATTGGTATTGTTAGTTATTTCTCTTTTGTAGATGATTAAAATGAGAATGTAAATGATTACATTGAGGTTTCATTATTCAACTCTTTTAAGATCATATTTCCTATCTCTTAACAGAGATAATATATTTTTTCTAGAATATTTTATATTTTAATAAGGAAAAACTACATTTAAGAAAAACACCTAAATTATCGTTGCCATTATACAGTTGGTCTATAGTATATGGATTAAAAGTGGTAAAGGAAATGGAAAGAAACATCAATATATTGTAACTGGAGTAAAGAATGACACTTGGTAACTCACTGATTATAGAGTATAAAAGATTTACCATTCAAGATATCATTTCAATTTCAATTATAAATTTTGTATTAACATTTCTTTAGCTTGTGGTTAAATTTTTATCAAAATATATAATTCCATATATGACATTATAAAAAAGTATAGAGATTATTGTTGACATATTAAAATATGCTGTAAGAAATTAGTTTTTTTGAAACACTTTAAGCTTGCCTTAAAAAATATTATCTAGACAACTTTGCCGTTATCTAGAGGGTGAAAATATTATTATTAAACAGAAATGGATGAGACCATAGCATCATACATTTACCAACAGCATTATTTGCTTTTAAAAAACAGAGCTGGTTTTATAAAATAAGATTTTAAATAAATTATGCCTTATTTTGTACTTCCTTTTCCTTTCTCCACATATGGTCTTATAGATTATTGATTTTTTAAAAAATATAAGTATAACTTATTTTCCATTGTCTATGTTTTAGCTTTCATGAAAAAAGGTTCTCTGTTTAAACATTGACCTGTCATTGAAATTAAGATAGCTTAAGTATATAAAAGTCAAAGGCTATATGCGACTTATAGACAAAAATGTTTTGCTTCCATGTTCTGACAATTATGAATAAAGCTGCTATAAAGAGCATAAGGATGTCTTACAAAACAAAACATACTCTTACCATGTGATCCAATAATCATACTCAACTCACACAAATCATACTTTGGGTATTAACTCAAAGAAGTTGAAAAATTACATCCCAGAAAATCCTGCACATGGATCTTTATTATATTAACTTTTTAAATACATATTTTGTTAAAAAAATTTAGTAGAGTTTTAAATTTACAAAGTTATTAGGAAGAGAGTGCCGAATGTTCTCATGTGTACCATATTGTCCAGTTTCTATGATTTTTAATGTTTCATATTAGTATAACACATTTGTCACAATTAATGAATTAATATTAGTATATTAACTAATGAATTTTACTTAATGTCAATGCTTTATTCAGACTTTTTCATTTTTTACATTATGTTCCCTTTTCTTTTCTAGGATCCTATTCAGGCTACTACATTACATATAGTAGTCATATCTTCTTAGGCTCTTCCTGGTTGTTACTTGCCTTGTTTTGATGACCTTGAGATTTTTTTAGGACTATTGGTTAAGTATTTGTAGAAAACCCTGCAGTTATGATTCATCTGATTTCTTTTCCATTGTTGTACAAAAGTAATATGTACTGGGGAGAAAGGCCACAGAAGTAAAATCTTCTTTAAGAAGTGAAGCAGTAAAATGTCATTTTCATCACATCATATGGTATATAAGTAGTCACCATTAATGTTAACCTTGATCACCTGTCTTGAGGTAGTATTTGTCAAGTTTCACCACCACTCTTTTAACCCTGCCTCCATTGCCATACTAATTCTTTGGAATGTAATAAACTATACTTAGTTTTGGAAGAAACCATTAAACTGTTTTCCAAAGTGGTGGTACCATGATTTTTAAAAAATGTTTACCAGCAATTAATCAGGAGTTATTATTACTTTGCATCTTTGCCAGCAGTAGCAGTGAGTTCTTTGGATTTTAGCCATTTAAATAGGTATTTACTGGTATCTCATTGTTGCTTGCTTAAATTTCTAATGACAAATGATGTTGAACACCTTTTTATATGTTTATTTACCATCTGTATATTTTGGGGGTTGAATTGTCTATTCAGATCTTATGCACGTTTAATTAGTTCTTTGTTTTATTATTATTGAGTTTTAAGAATCCTTTTACATTTGGATAAAAATCCTTTATCAGATATGTGTTTTGCCAATATTTCTCCAAGTAGTTATTTTTGTTCTCTTAACAGTGTCACTTCAGAGCAGATTTTACTTTTAAAAAAGTCCAAATTTCCATTTTCTGTCATGAATTATGCTTTCGGTGTTGTATCAAAAAATGTATTGCCAAGCCCAGGGTCATCTACATTTTATCCTATGTTTTCTCCTAGAAATTTTGTAGTTAAGTGTTTTACATTTAGGTATGTAATTCATTTTGATCAAATTTTTGTGAAGAGTGTAAGTTGTAAATTCAATGCCTATGTTCATTTTATTTGCATATGAATATCAAATTCTTCCAAAACCAATTAATAAGAAGACTATACTTTTGGCTTTGAATTACATTTGATTATTTATCACAGATTAGTTGACTACATTTGTGTGGGTCTATGTTTGGACTATCTATTCTGTTCCATTGATCTACATGCTTGTTCTTTTGTCAATACCAGGCTACCTTGATTATTGTTGCTTAATGGTTAAGTGTTGAAATAAGGCAGAGTGTATTCTCCAACCTTATTTTCTTCAGTAATTTGGTGGTTATTCTAGTTTTTTGCCTTACCATAAAAACTCTATAACCAGGGTGCCAATTTTGGCAAAATAGCTTGATGTAATTTTGATTGGGATTGTACTGAATCTATGGATCAAACAGGTAAGAAGAGCCTTAATTATATTGAGGCTCCCAATCAATGAACATGAAATCTCTTTCTATTTATTTATAATATTCATTTAGGTTTTTATCAGAGTTTAGTTTTCCACATATAGGTCAGTACATAGTTTTGTAGGTATATACCCAATTATTTATTTATTTTGGATACTATTACAAATGGTATTATTTTTCCTTTAAATATTAGTTGTTCATTGCTGTTACAGGGGAAAGCAGTTGACTTTGTATACAGTATTAAATTTTATCCTGGACCCATGCTATACTGACTTATTTAAGGCATTTTTTAATATTTGGGAATACAGACCATTTTATGTCTTTCTTATTAGTCTGCATATATTTTCATGCTTTTATTTTCTAATTGTACTAGCTAGAATTTCCTAGTGTTGAATAGCAGTGATGAGAGGACATTCTTGCCTTGTTCCAGACCTTTGGAGGAAAGTATCCATTTTTCTACACGAATTAGCATAACTGTAGGATTTTACAGATGTTCTTTACTAAATTGCTGTTTTTCTCCTCTATTTTTGGCCTTCTGAGAGTTTTCATCCAGATTAGTTGTTAAATTTTGTAAAATATTTTTTCTGTGTCAGTTTATATAATTATAAAAAATTTTTCCTTTAGAGTATCGATATGGTAGATTACAATGATTAATTTTAAAATGGAGACCTAACTTTGCACTGTGGAATAAATTACTGTTTATTTATTTCTATAATAAATAAAAAAATTATTATTCTTTTTACTTATTGTTGGATTCAAGTTTAAATATTTGTTGAGAATGTTGTGTCTATGTTCATGAGAGTTATTAGTCTATAGTTTTCCTTTATTTTAATACATTTGTCTACTTTTGGAATTAGGGTAATGCTAGCCTCAGGAAATGACTTAGGAAGTGTTCCATCTGCTTCTATTTTACTGGAAGAGGTTATGAAGAATTGGCATCATTTCTTTCTTTCACATTTGATAGAATTTACCAGTGAATTAATCTGAGGTGACTTCTTTTATGAAAGAGTATTAGTTATTGATTCAATTTCTTTAATATATGTAGGCCTATTCAGATGATCTTTTCTTGCATGAGTATTGATAGTTTGTGTCACTCAAGAAATTTGTCTATTTTATCAACATTTTCAAATATTGAGACAGAAAATTGTTTTTAGTATCCTTTTATATATCCTCTTAATGCCCATAGGAACAATAATGGCAATCCCTGTTTGATTTATTATATTAATAACTTGTGTCCTCTCTCTCTTTTCTCCCTTGATTAGCCTGACTAGAGTCTTTACCAATTTTATTAATATTTTCAAATAATAACTTTTGTATTAGTTTATTTTCTTTATTGTTTTTCTATTTTTAATCTTACTGAGCTCTATTCTAATTTTAATTATTTCTCTTCTTTTGCTTAGTTTGGCTGTTATTTCTCTAGCTTCTTAAAGTAGAAGCTTAAGTTATTGATTATAGATTTTACTTTCTAATATATGCATTTAATGTTATACGTTTGTCTCTGTGCACTGCTTTTTCTGGATCTCACATGGTTTGACCAGTTATAGTTTCATTTTCATTTAGTTCAAAATATTTTTTAAGTTTCTCTTCAGACTTCTTTGACCAATGTGTTATTCAAAGTACACTGTTAAATTTCAAATAATTTGACATTTCTTCAACTATCTTTCTTTTACTGAATCCTACTTTTATTCCACGTGGCATGGGGATATATGTTTTATGATTTCATTTTGTCTTCATGTGCTCAGGTGTGTTTTATAGTCTAGAATGTGTGCTATCTTGCTAAATGTTCTACACAGTCTCAAAAGAATTCCTCCTGCTGTTGGATAGACTATAATTGCCAATTATATCAAGCTGTTTTATAGTGCTGACTGGTCAAGCATATCTTTATGAGGTTTCTGCCTGCTTGGCTTATCAGTTACAAATAGGGGTATTTAATGTATCCAACCGTAATGGTGGGTTTTCTCTTATTCCTGTCTGTTTTATCACTTGTCTAACATATTTTGGCATAACGTTGCTAGGTGCATGCACATATAGGATTGTTATGTCTGTTTGCAGAATTGATTCCCTGAAGACCGCTTTATCTGAAATTACTTGAGGTACTGAAGATTTCTTTTGATTAGTGGGAGCATAATATATCTTTTCTCGTCTCTTTTAACCTACCTGAGTCTTTATATTTAAAGCGTTTCTTGTAAATAGATTATAGGTGGGTCTTGTTTATTTGTTTTTCTCCACTCTGATAAGCAATTTTTTTGTAACTGTATTTCACTGATTTCCATATTCCTCTTTCTATGTGCTCTGGTTTTAGTTGGGTACTTTACATGATTATTTTTATCTTCTCTTTTAGAGCACCAATTACACTTCTTTTAATGATTGTATTGATTGTCCTGAGGTTTACAATATCCTTCCTTCCTTTCTTTTTTTTTTTTTTTTTTTTTTTTTTTTTTTTTTTTTTTTGGCAGAGTCTTGCTGTTGCCAAGGCTAAAGTGCAATAGTTTGGTCATAGCTCACTGTAACCTTGATCTCCTCGACTCAAGCAATCCTCTACCTCAGCCTCCTGAGTAGCTGGGTCTACCAGCACATGTCACCAGACCAGACTATGAATTTTTTTTTTTTGAGACAAAATCTTGCTATGTTGCCCAGGTCTTGAACTCCTGCCTTCAAATGATTCTCTTACCTCAGCTTCACAAAGTGCTGGGATTACAGGCATGAGCCATCACACCCAGTCACAATATCCTTTTTTAACTAATTTAATTTGATTTTTAAATAACAGTATTCTGCTTCATGTGTAGCACCTGTACCTTGTAACAGAATATTCCTAATTTATCTCTCCTGATCTTTCTGACATGACTGTTATTTCACCTATCCATAGGCTACAATCACCCAATATATGGTTATCAGGTTATCATTATTACTTTGAAGTTATTTCTATAACTATTAATAAGGAAAAGAAGGCATTTTGTTTTATCTTTATTTATTCCTTCTCTGTCTTCCTTTCCTCATGTAGATCTGAGTTTCTGACCTATATTATTTCACTCTCCCTTTTTCAATATCGTTTGCATGACATGTCTGCCTTCATTAAAATCTCTCAGATTTTGTTAGTCTGAGAAAGTTTTTACTTCTTCACTTTTAAAGTATCATTTTACTAGGTATAGAATTCTAGGTTAGTGGGCTTTTTCTCTTGAAAGGTATATCATTGCACTCTTCTCATTTGTATAGTTTCTGATAAGAGGTGGGCTGTAATTCTGATCCTTGTTCCTGTATAGAAAAAGTGTTTTTTTAATCCCTCTGGCTTTAAGATTTTTCCTTTGTCTTTCATTTTCTGCAGTTTGCATATGACATGCCTAGAGAAATTTTTTTGTTTTGTTTTTATCTTTATAGTTTATTTAGCTTAGTGTTCTCTCAACTTCCAGGACATGAGAATCATTTGTCACTCATTTTGGAAAGTTTTCAGCCATTATTTTTTCAAATATTTTTTCAGCTCTGTTCTCTTTCTTCTCCTTCTAATATTACAATAACACATAATACACTTTTTGAAATTGTCCCACAGTACTTAGATACTCTGCTGTGATTTTATTTTATTTTATTTTTCCTCTTTAAGTTTTAGTTTGGGAAATTTCTGTTGATATATTTTCAAGCCCACTGATCTTTCCTTAGCTTTCTACCTATGTCCATTCTCTAATGAACCTATCAATGGTCTTTATTTCTATTATGGTATTTTTTATTTCTAGCATTTTCTTTCAGTTCTTTCTTAGAGTCTCCATCTCCCTGTTTACTCATTTGTTCTTGCATTCTGTCTTCCTTTTTTATTAGATCTCTTAACATATTATTCATAGGTATTTTAAATTATCTATGTGGTATTTACAACATCCTCGTGATGTATGAATTTGGTTCTGATGATTACTTTGTCTCTTCAGATTATTCTTTCTTTCCTTTAGGTATGCCTTGCAAATTTTTGTTGAAATTCAAGCATACTGTATCGGGTAATAGGAACAGAGATGAACAGGCCTCTAATGTGGAGATCTCTGTCAATGTGGTTGGGCTTTGGCTTTATTTAGAGTTTGCTGTACCTAAAGGTGCCTAAGACTTGATTTCAAATTCCTTTAGTGTCTGGTTTTGTTGTCCCTTTTGCTTTGGACTTTCCTAAGTACTCATCTACAGAGAATGTCTATGATTTGCAGCTTTCAACTATTGTCTTTTATGGTACTGAGGCTCTGTTGGTTTGATGGTAACGTATAAGAGAGGGAAATGATATAATCTATGATCTATGGTCTATGATCCTCCAGTTAAATCTCAGTCTTTTCTTGGGTCTGTGTCTCTAGCCTGTAGCCTTAAGAAATGTTTCTTCTGCCAGGAGTGGTGGCTCACACCTGTAATCCCAGCACTTTGGGAGGCCTAGACGGGCAGATCACGAGGTCAGGAGATCGAGACCATCCTGGCTAACATGGTGAAACCCCATCTCTACTAAAAAATATAAAAAATTAGCTGGGCGTGGTGGCAGGCGCCTGTAGTCCCAGCTAGTCAGGAGGCTGAGGCAAGGGAATGATGTGAACCTGGGAGGCAGAGCCGAGATCACGCCACTGCACTCCAGCCTGGGTGACAGAGCAAGACTCCATCTCAAAAAAAAAAAAAAAAAAGAAAGAAATGTTTCTTCTTATATGAATTTCCCATTTTCATTGAGATAGAAAGTATACAGGGGGCTAGAGTATGACAAATACCCTTGCTAACAGTCCTGGCATGACTCTGGCCAAACTCTTCCTCACTGGAGAGTAGGCCTTTGTTAGAAAGAAGATCTGGGTTCATTTAAAAAGGATAACTCTTCCCCTCCCCACTCCCTGGATCCCACAGAATCATTCTCAGATCTTTACAGTGAGAACGTGGAGAAAAATCCTGGAGGAAAAGCCTCTGAAAGTGTGGGGACCTACCTAAGACTGCAGTGTAGCTCCGGGGAGATTCTCCCTCACACAAATCACATGAATACATAAAGTGTATTTTGTTAGATGACTCAGGACCCAGAGGTACCCAATGAGTAAACTGGAGATGAAAATAAACATAACATAAGAGGAGTAACGTACTATAAACAGAAAGAACATACATCTTCCTTTCGTTGATTGGATGACAGAAGAATGCCAGAAAGGAAGCAGAGCCTCTGCAGGAGGTACAGACTGACAGCTCATAACAGATTCTCCTTAGAGAATTTAAGATGGTTGATGTGGAATCTAGACAATTTAAGATGGTTGGTGTAGAATTCTAGCTTTTCTCTAAGATTTTTTTCATCATAAATGGTTTATATTACACATTCCCATCAGCAGTTTTTGAGGGTTCCAGTTACTCTGTATCATCTCCAATACTTGGTATGGGTGGTCTTTTTAACTTTTGCTAAACTAAAATATTTTATTGTGGTTTAATTTAATTATCAATTATGTCAAACATCTTTTTAATCCTTGTTTGCCACCTTCATATCTTCTTTGGTAAAATAACTGTTCAAACATATTGCCTACTGTTATTTGGGTTTTTTGTTTTTGTATTACTGAGTGTTTAGAGTGCTTTAAACATTCTAGATGAAAACTCTATGCTAGGCATATGACTTGCAAATATTTCCTAACAATCTGTGGATTAAATTTTCATTTTCTGATGAAGTAGCTCTTAAGATTTTCATTTGATAATGTCCAATTAATAATTTTTCTCAGTACTTTCAAACTTAAATGTAAACCTCCTGTCAATATGGTGAAATACAGCAAGCAATTCCTTTCTGTTTACTTGTTTGTTTCCCCACTGTAGACTCCCACCTTGGAATGCTGCAATGTGAAGTGACTTCTTCTAGATGTTAACTCAGCTGTACTTCTGAAACCTCCTATCAGCATCATTCTGCCTATTACTATTGCCTCACTTCTCTGTTGGATCCTTGTTTCCTGGACCACACATATTATTGTTATAATCTCTCTTTTTGCTGGAGAAAATTTTCTTTTTTTTTTCTTTTTTTAATTATTATTATACTTTAAGTTTTAGGGTACATGTGCACAATGTGCAGGTTAGTTACATATGTATACATGTGCCATGCTGGTGCGCTGCACCCACTAACTCGTCATCTAGCATTAGGTATATCTCCCAATGCTATCCCTCCCCCCTCCCCCCACCCCACAACAGTCCCCAGAGTGTGATGTTCCCCTTCCTGTGTCCATGTGTTCTCATTGTTCAATTCCCACCTATGGGAATTGCGGTGTTTGGTTTTTTGTTCTTGCGATAGTTTACTGAGAATGATGATTTCCAATTTCATCCATGTCCCTACAAAGGACATGAAATCATCATTTTTATGGCTGCATAGTATTCCATGGTGTATATGTGCCAGATTTTCTTAATCCAGTCTATCATTGATGGACATTTGGGAAATTTTTCCAATAGGTCTCTCAGCAAGGTGAAATGGGATATACATTTTTAAAACTTCAAATATCTCAAAAATATCATTTGATTCACACTTTTGATTAATATTTTTTGACTGAAGTAGAGTGCTGGGTTGAAGATCATTTTCCTGTAGGAAAGGTATTTCTTCATCTCTTCCAGTTTTTTTGATGTAAAAGTCCATTATTATTCTTACTTCAAATCCTTTGATTATGACCTTATTTTTGGTATGTTTTTCTCCCACAAATCCTTATCTCTATTGTTAAAAAATTTTCAGTGATTAAGACTTGAAGTATGTCAGTTTTCATTCATTTAGATGTATCAAAATAAGGCATGTATGTGTGTTGTTGTTAATTTAGAAATTTGTTATTTAATTCTAAAATAGTATTACTCAAGGCAATTATTTCATTCAATGGTTTCTTATTCCATTGGTAAATATGGTGCAATGTTTGATGACGCACATAATATTCTCTGTCTGCCTCTTGGTCTTTTTGAGGCTGAACTTCAAAAGCATTCTTTGACTGTACTTAAAACACTTTAAGGCGAGGGTTAATTTGTGAAGAATTTGTGAATAGGAATTACTTTCTCACCAATTCCTTAAGGATATATTTGTTTTTAAATTTAACCTACAGAGATTCCAATTCCATTCTCACAGTCGTGCAATAAAATTGACAAACAGTAACTAGACTATTTTATTTTCTTGCAATAAGAATACATTATACATGACATTACTTAAAAGAGCTGTAGGAAAATAGCACACCTGCTGCTTTTCCCACTAATGGTATATGCTTTTCATCTACTAGGGAGAAATTATTCTTTAAAGAGTATGTAAATAATTCTATTTTAAACCAGAGAAAATTATTAATTAACACTATTAACTTCTTAATACAAATGCATTCTGTGTGTGTGTGTGTGTGTGTGTGTGAGAGAGAGAGAGAGAGAGAAAAGAGAGATCTAAAATTTAAATACTCACCTATCTAGGACCTAAGGTTAACAACCTAACCTTCTCTTTGCTTGCTTCATCTCCCATCTACATGCTTCTACATATGCTTTATCACACAGTCTTATAGGCAAACTGCTAATAATATGATGTGTATTGTGGAATCCACCTGCCCTAACCTAGATTAGGTAAATTTTTTTAATTGTTATTTCAGTCTTCCCAGGTAGGTACAATTTTATTCCAATTTATGGATTAGCAAAATTGATGTCAAAAAGATCCAATAACTCAGGACAGGCGAGGTGACTCATGCCTATAATCTCAGCATTTTGGTAGACTGAGACAGGGGGCTCACTTGACGTCAGAAGTTCAAGACCAGCCTGGTCAACATGGCAAAAAGTCATCTCTACTAAAAATACACAAACTAGCTGGGTGTGATGGCACACACTCCTATAATCTCAGCTACTTGAGAGGTCCTATAATCTCAGCTACTTGAGAGGCTGAGGCAAGAGAATCACTTGAACCTGGGAGGCAGGCGGAGATTGCAGTGAGCCGAGATTATGCCACTGCACTCCAGCCTGGGTGATGCAGCAAAACTCTGTCTCAAAAAAAAAAAAAAAAAAAAAAAAGAAATCACCTAAAATCATATAACTTGTATATGATAAATTGAAATTGAGGATTCAAAACCCAGTGGCTAACTCTAATAAGTTGATCACCTTCAGGTTACCATTTCTGTGAAATTTTTCCCTAACTTTCCGGCACACTTAGACATTACTACCTGCAGTTACTCATACGCCTTACAGATCCTCTTAGTATAAAAATTACATTGTAGGCCGGGCACGGTGGCTCATGCCTGTAATCCCATCACTTTGGGAGGCCAAGGCAGGCGGTTCACGAGGTCAGGAGATCGAGACCATCCTAATTAACACGGTGAAACCCCATTTCTACTAAAAATACAAAAAATTAGCCGGGTGTGGCGAGCACCTGTAGTCCCAGCTACTCAGGAGGCTGAGGCAGGAGAATGGCATGAACCCGGGAGGCGGAGCTTGCAGTGAGCCAAGATTGAGCCACTGCACTCCATCCAGTCTGGGCGACAGAGCGAGACTCTATCTCAAAAAAAAAAAAAAAAAAAAATTACATTGTAAAGTAATTTTAATTATAAAAATGCTTCTTCACAAATGTAAAAGAACAGAAATTATAACAAACTGTCTCTCAGACCACAGTGCAATCAAACTAGAACTCAGGATTAAGAAACTCACTCAGAACTGCTCAACTACATGGAAACTGAACAACCTGCTCCTGAATGACTACTGGGCACATAATGAAATGAAGGCAGAAATAAAGATGTCCTTTGAAACCAACGAGAACAAAGACACAGCATACCAGAATCTCTGGGACACATTCAAAGCAGTGTGTAGAGGGAAATTTATAGCACCAAATGCCCACAAGAGAAAGCAGGAAAGATCCAAAATTGACACCCTAACATCATAATTAAAAGAACTAGAAAAGCAAGAGCAAACACATTCAAAAGCTAGCAGAAGGCAAGAAATAACTAAAATCAGAGCAGAACTGAAGGAAACAGAGACACAAAAAACCCTTCAAAAAATTAATGAATCCACAAGCTGGTTTTTTGAAAGGATCAACAAAATTGATAGACCGCTAGCAAGACTAATAAAGAAGAAAAGAGAGAAGAATCAAATAGATGCAATAAAAAAGGATAAAGGGGATATCACCACCAATCCCACACAAATACAAACTACCATCAGAGAATACTACAAACACCTCTACGCAAACAAACTAGAAAATCTAGAAGAAATGGATAAATTCCTCCACACATACACCCTCCCAAGACTAAACCAGGAAGAAGTTGAATCTCTGAATAGACCAATAACAGGCTCTGAAATTGTGGCAATAATCAATAGCTTACCAACCAAAAAGAGTCCAGGACCAGATGGATTCACAGCTGAATTCTACCAGAGGTACAAGGAGGAACTGGTACCATTCCTTCTGAAACTATTCCAATCAATAGAAAAAGAGGGAATCCTCCCTAACTCATTTTAGGAGGCCAGCATCATCCTGATACCAAAGCTGGGCAGAGACACAACCAAAAAAGAGAATTTTAGACCAATATCCTTGATGAACATTGATGCAAAAATCCTCAATAAAATACTGGCAAACCAAATCCAGCAGCACATCAAAAAGCTTATCCACCATGATTAAGTGGGCTTCATCCCTGGGATGCAAGGCTGGTTCAATATATGCAAATCAATAAATGTAATCCAGCATATGAACAGAACCAAAGACAAAAACCACATGATTATCTCAATAGATGCAGAAAAGGCCTTTGACAAAATTCAACAACCCTTCATGCTAAAAACTCTCAATAAATTAGGTATTGATGGGATGTATCTCAAAATAATAAGAGCTATCTATGACAAACCCACAGCCGACATCATACTGAATGGGCAGAACCTGGAAGCATTCCCTTTGAAAACTGGCACAAGACAGGGCTGCCCTCTCTCACCACTCCTATTCAACATAGTGTTGGAAGTCCTGGTCAGGGCAATTAGGCAGGAGAAGGAAATCAAGGGTATTCAATTCGGAAAAGAGGAAGTCAAATTGTCCCTGTTTGCAGATGACATGATTGTATATCTAGAAAACCCCATTGTCTCAGCCCAAAATCTCCTTAAGCTGATAAGCAACTTCAGCAAAGTCTCAGGATACAAAATCAATGTACAAAAATCACAAGCATTCTTATACACCAATAACAGACAAACAGAGCCAAATCATGAGTGAACTCCCATTCACAATTGCTTCAAAGAGAATAAAATACCTAGGAATCCAACTTACAAGGGACGTGAAGGACCTCTTCAAGGAGAACTACAAACCACTGCTCAATGAAATAAAAGAGGATACAAACAAATGGAAGAACATTCCATGTTTATGGGTAGGAAGAATCAATATCGTGAAAATGGCCACACTGCCCAAGGTAATTTATAGATTCAATGCCATCCCCATCAATCTACCAATGACTTTTTTCACAGAATTGGAAAAAACTACTTTAAAGTTCATATGGAACCAAAAAAGAGCTTGCATTGCCAAGTCAATCCTAAGCCAAAAGAACAAAGCTGGAGGCATCACACTACCTGACTTCAAACTATACTACAAGGCTACAGTAACCAAAACAGCATGGTACTTGTACCAAAACAGAGATATAGATCAGTGGAACAGAACAGAGCCCTCAGAAATAATGCCGCATATCTACAACTATCTGATCTTTGACAAACCTGAGAAAAACAAGTGATGGGGAAAGGACTCCCTATTTAATAAATGGTGCTGGGAAAACTGGCTAGCCATATGTACAAAGCTGAAACTGGATCCCTTCCTTACACCTTATACAAAAATTAATTCAAGGTGGATTAAAGACTTAAACAATAGACCTAAAACCATAAAAACCCTAGAAGAAAACCTAGGCATTACCATTTAGGACATAGGCATGGGCAAGGACTTCATGTCTAAAACACCAAAAGCAATGGCAACAAAAGCCAAAATTGACAAATGGGATCTAATTAAACTAAAGAGCTTCTGCACAGCAAAAGAAACTACCATCACAGTGAACAGGCAACCTACAAAATGGGAGAATATTTTCACAACCTACTTATCTGACAAAGGGCTAATATCCAGAATCTACAACGAACTCAAACAAATTTACAACAAAACAACAAACAACCCCATCAAAAAGTGGGCAAAGGACATGAACAGACACTTCTCAAAAGAAGACATTTATCCAGCCAAAAAACACATGAAAAAATGCTCACCATCACTGGCCATCAGAGAAATGCAAATCAAAACCACAATGAGATACCATCTCACACCAGTTAGAATGGCAATCATTAAAAAGTCAGGAAACAACAGGTGCTGGAGAGGATGTGGAGAAATAGGAACACTTTTACACTGTTGGTGGGACTGTAAACTAGTTCAACCATTGTGGAAGTTGGTGTGGTGATACCTCAGGGATCTAGAACTAGAAATACCATTTGACCCAGCCATCCCATTACTGGGTATATACCCAAAGGACTATAAATCATGCTGCTATAAAGACACATGCACACGTATGTTTATTGCGGCACTATTCACAATAGCAAAGACTTGGAACCAATCCAAATGTCCAACAATGATAGACTGGATTAAGAAAATGTGACACATATACACCATGGAATACCATGCAGCCAGAAAAAATGATGCGTTCATGTCCTTTGTAGGGACATGGATGAAATTGGAAATCATCATTCTCAGTAAACTATCGCAAGGACAAAAAACCAAACACCGCATATTCTCACTCATAGGTGGGAATTGAACAATGAGAACACACGGACACAGGAAGGGGAACATCACACTCTGGGGACTGTTGTGGGGTGGGGGGAGGGGGGAGGGATAGCATTAGGAGATATACCTAATGCTAAATGACGAGTTAACGGGTGCAGCACACCAGCATGGCACATGTATACATATGTAACTAACCTGCACATTGTGCACATGTACCCTAAAACTTAAAGTATAATAATAATAAAATAAAATTCTTCTTCAATATACTAAAGCTCTTTAGGGAAATATTATATATGTAATCCACATCCCCTAGGCACATATTAAGACTGAAAAATATTTATAGAATAGCTAAATAAAGGAAGAAAATGAATGAAAAAGAAAAGAAGGAAGGAAAGAAATAAGAAAGGTATAAAGCATAAGGATGCTGAAACCATTAAAAGAGAACATATATATTAAAATAATTCTGGCACATAGCAGGTTTTCAGTTAATTTTTGTATAATGTGACAAATTAGTTCCCTGCCCATGTATATGAATAAACCTTTTATTTATATACTTGCATGTTCTATATGTGAAAGCCAATATTTCTCATGGAAATCTGTCTAATTCTAAGAATTTAGGCCTGTGGCTAGACAAAGACCACTGCTAATCCTCACAGCTATTTAAGTACTTTTAATGATGATAGGTTTAAAGTCCCTACAAATGTGAGTTTAATAATGAAGGGAGAAATTATGACATGTAAACAACTTTCAGAAGTCTTGTTTAGGATTAGGACTGACAAGATATAGTAGAAGCATGAATGGTAGTTTATGTTTCAGGAGAAAATATAGGGAAATAGACAAATAGATATTTCAGTATAGAGTGAGATAATTTCTTAAAGATGTCAGGGCAAGAGTTACAATTTTATTAAGGGCTTAATCTGCATCAGGCCCAATGATAAGTGTTTTGTATGTTTTATTCTTTTAATCTACAGTCTTCGAAATTAGTACAAATATTTACATCCATTTTACATGAGGATGTACAAAGGCACAAGGATGCCTGGTATTACTAACTCTTCTTTTCTCCAAAATTCTCTAAAAATTATCCTCAAAAAATTTTTCTCAAAGAGAATACAATGCAAAAGGAAGAAGAGTTTATGAGAAAACAAATTAGATTCTACTCTAGATTCTGACACTTCCTAGTCAGAGAATACAATCTCTTACTGGGAACAAAAGAGTTTCAAGTTAACACACACTTTTCAACTATGACACTGTATGATGTTGTTATTTTTCCTTTAAAATGATAATAAAAATACTATGTGGATAATAGCTCTATTATTTATAGTGCTCTCAATGTCTATTACATGAACTTATTTATCCATTTGCAAATAATTCTTAGCCTCAGTTTCCTTAGCTATAACATGATATTAATGAAAAATACTTGCTCTTGGAACATGGAAATTGGATTTAAACCAAAGGAACTACTGCGTGTGGAAGGGCTGTATATCTAAGGATATTATATTATTTTATTTTCCATTATAAACCTAGGATATATTTTATACCTCATATTTTAATAGCTTATTTTCTGTCCCATTTTTTAAATAAAAATAATTGTCTGTAACAAAAGTATTTTGGAATCTGTTTTTTTCAAAACAACAACAAAAAAAAAACAAAAGCTCAAACCTTAAACCAGTTTCTTTGAATAACTAAAATCAATCTTCTTACTCTACCTGAATTCATCACTCAAAAATCTTTCACAATGAATTAATCTGCCTTTACATCCAAGCTAATAAAATTACGGTTGAAGCAATACTTACGTATTATGTAAAGTGAGGTTACGGGTAAACAAACTATTTTAAAATGATGCTGTAATTACATCCTCATGAGGTCTATGGTTAGGCAAGTCATTTTGGGCTTTTTATCAACTTATCTGTGCTAAATAAAACTAACATTTTAAAGTAAAATAACTTAAATAAAATTTACACTTGGAAATTAACATTTAAGAATAGTAGTATGAAACTACAGTTTAATTATTTCAACCAAGTAAAGGTAAGTACAGGCATACAGGACACCAACGACAGATTATTACCATTGTTGTGAATTACAGATGTTAATCATTAAAGGGAATAAAAAAATTCAAGAATATACAAGTTTTCACATGTAAGTTTGAGGCAGGATAGTAAAAATTCAACTCCAAACACGTTCTATGTGTAAGAGTTTCCAGTGATTTGGAAGTGGTTCCTGCACTCAACAATCTTGATGTTTAGATAGAAAAAATAAACAAAAAGCTAAGGATAATAAAAATAATTAACGACATGATTCTTAATAGACACTCTTCCTTTAACAGGCTTAACATATATACATTATCTAAATCTCACAACAGCTTTAAGAGGTAACATTATTACCTCTATTTGATAAATGAAGAAACTGAGTCTCAGAAAAGTAATATTCCCAACGTCTTACAGCTGGTATTTGGCAGAATCCAAACTTATATCCAAGCATTCTGTTATCAGTGCCTGAGTCCTTAGTTACTGTCCTAGAGTAGACTAAATTGAAAGAAAAAATTTACTTCTATAAAATTAACATATTATGAAAAATCTGGAGCATTACCCATATCTTATAAAAATTATGGTTTTCACCTCCAACTTTCCACCTTCATCTCTTCTCCAAAAAGGGCAGGCAATACATCTCAGTTTTTGTATGTGTATTTCACTAGTACAACAAGTTGGCAAACACAAGGTAAATGTTCAATAATATATTAAAGCGTCAAAGGTTTCCATGAACATTAAAGAAGGAAATAGACATTTTGAAATATGTCTGTTCTATATTTAGTGAACACATTATCTAATCAAAAAGGTAAGATTTATTTTATTTATTTTCTTTAGGTCATGCAAAATTGTGGTATCATCTTAAAATTAGAATATAAACCCCATGAGGGCAAAAGTTATTGTCTTTTCTTGTTCATTGCTATAAATATAGCAATAAGTGTATATTAGTAGGTTCTCACACTGCTAATAAAGACATACCCAAGACTGGGTAATTTATAAAGGAAAGAGGTTTAATGGACTCACAGTTCTGCAGGGCTGGGGAGGCCTCACAATCATGGCAGAAGGCAAAGGTGTAGCAAAATCAGGTCTTGCAGTCCCCTTTACACAACATCAGATCTGTGAGACTTACTATCATGAGAACAGCATGAGAAAGACCCGCCCCCATAATTCAATTACCTCCCACCAGGTCTCTCCCATGACACGTGGAAATTATGGGAGCTACAATTCAAGATGAGATTTAGGTGGGGACACAGCCAAACCATATAAATGTGTAATGCCCATGTCAGAAAAAAAAATTGTGAAATTCTTTGAAATGAAGAAAAATGATTCTTGTGTGTTCTATCAAGCACATCCTTCTGGGATATCCCTCTCTTTCATTGTGTTTGAGTTGTTTTACAATTTGGTAAATTGTAGCACACTATTAATAATGCTAATAATGCTTGGTCGTTGACATGCAATTTGTGTCCAATGGAGATACAATTGATTATTGGATTGTGGATGTTTATCAATTTTGCATCTATTTGTACATTCATTTCAATATACATTGTTGCCTCTGTGTGTGTTTGTGTGTGTGTGTGTGGCGGTGGTGGTGGCAAATTAAACTTTAAATGAGTTCGAACATTGTGCTAGTTTTCTCTTCAATTGATGAGTTAAATTAAACTTTTATCGTGTATTGATATGTAAGAGTTATGATTTTACCTTAAACATTATTTTTAACATCTAAATTAGTAAACAAAGGCATACCAAATACTAGATAACTAATAAATATATGTATATTAATCTATAAAGGTTAATATAACTTAATAATAGAATACTAAATTAATAATTGAATTAATGAGTGAATAAGATATTTTTCATGAAATATCACAGTTAATTTTTATGGTCTCTATTAGTCTGCATTCATTGTTATAATATGCTTGGCCAGGTGACTGAGAACACTTGCAAAAACTATAATAACTATATATATATATATATATATATTTTTTTTTTTTTTTTTTTTTTTTTGAGATAAGATCTTGCTCTGTCACCCAGGCTGGAGTGTAGTGGAGTGCTCACAGTTCACTGCAGCCTCAACCTCCCGCGGCTTAGGTGATCCTCCCACCTCAACCTCCTGAGTAGCTAGGATTACAGGCACATGCCATCACACTTGGCTAATTTTTCTATTTTTTTTTTTTTGTAGAGATGAGGTTTCACCATGTTGCCTAGGAATCAATACTTTTCTAAACGATGTATGGATTTTCACTCTTTATAGATTAATTTTACTCTTTATAGATTAATTTTACTCTTTATAGATTCACCCTTTAAGTTTACTATGCATATTAGATTAACTTTTCAAATATGCACAACATATTTCATGTATTTCAGTAGTACTTGATACATATCACCCCCTCTGGCTATCCAAAATAAAATAATTGTGTTATATAGAAAATGTGTACTTGCAAAAGAATTCCATTATAATTTGAAAACTCAGAAAGCATATGGGGCCAATACTTCTGAATTTGGCCACTGTACTTTTTGATATCAGATAAGATACAGAAATAATTTATATATGATAAAAAGAAACTCAATTTGATTTCCACAAAATTTATAGTTCTAGACATTTAGAAATGTGTTTATTTTTAATGAGTGTAACAAGGCTATTGCTAAGATAACAAGACATATGTTGAACTGGCTAATTTTCTTCAAGATGCAATGAGCCCTCTTGGGAAGTAGGCCTTGTGCTGGACACTAAGGAAATTTGAAGTTATAATGTCTAAGTTTTCATAATATAGTGCAGAATATGGAAACATGAGAAGTAAAAATGTTACACAATATGTGTTATTGCAGAGGTACAATTATATATACACATATGTATCATTTATGTAACAGTCTATTCCTGATATATACATATATGTGTGTATATATGTATATACATATATCAGAGGAATATAATGTATACATATATACATATATGTATATATCAGGAATAGACTAGAATAACTATTGACTGATAATTGTGAGTTACTGTTATGTCTATCCTATTTACAGGGTCTCTAAGCAAGACCAGTGTCATTGTCTGCAATGCTTCTTCTATCTTCTTTTTTATTAACAACATAAATCATGGATTTTACAGAGTGAGAATTTCATTGGACGAAGGGTAGTCCAATTTTAGTGCTTGATTGCATATTTCTTTGCAATTGGAGAGGCAATTAAAAATTAAGAGTAACAAACATCTTCTCAAAATAGTAAATTTGAGGACAAATATGAAATTATGACTGCTGATGGACTAGGCTCACATGTTCCAATTTGCTGTTTGCAAGGTTGACACCAAAAAATTATTACAATTTCTATCATTCTGAACAAGTTTATATGGATGCATTTGCTGCAATTAAGAGAAAAATATAGTTTGTTCAGGCTTATCAATTTTTATTCTCACATAATTAGATGCTGAGTAAAACTTTCATTTTAGAGATGTAGAAATCATGATAGAGAATGACCATCTGCTCAACATATATACGTGTTGTATCAAATCACTGCAGTACTTAAGTACAGAGGCTCTAGAGTCAAAAACCCTGGGGGAAGAAATCTTGGTGTGTTTGCTTTCTACCTTTCTTACACTGAATAAATTACTGAACACAGTTTCCCCATCAGTGAAAAGAAGGTAATGCTTGTTCTTATCCCACAAAATCATTGTGAGGACTAAATTATATAAATCATAAAAATACTTTTGAGAACTCAGACCTTCCAAATAGAAAGTTAGTAAATTTATTACTTTAATGAAATAGTATATGCGTGAAGAAATCCAATAATCAGGTTTTGTTAAAAAACCCCTCTATCCCATATCTTAGTCTAACTTACATAGCCAAACATACCTGACAGTTCATATAAAAAAATCTACATTAAGAAAATTTTGACAATTTGAATAAGGTTTCTTATGGAATTAGGTCTCATTATTTTGGAAGAAAGTAATTTGTTTGATTGGCTATATTTAAAGTATTCATTTCTTCTAATCTTGTTTTATCACACTTAGCAGAGTTACAGAAGATTGTAAATGTAATTTTTTGATTAATGCCACTCCGTGTTAAGGGTCCTCAAATTATGAAGGGCAGAGATTCTAATATCTCCTACTCATCAAAATATTCCCAGTGTCTCGTAGGGTTCTTGGTATATAACGGATGTTTTAAAAATATTTTATTTGATTAATAGTCAACAATGTAAGTGAATAAATGATAATTTAATTCATTTTTGCTCATAAATAATTTTATTGTTCGGAGTTTGAGGAATTTTACCTTCAAATTTCCTGTGGGTCTCTTCTTACAAAAAATCACTTTTAACATTTATTACAATTCTATCAAATCTTGGTGACGTGTTATACTTTCATCAGCACTTGCAAAAATATTTAGTATTTCTAAAAAAATACTCTGATGTAAATCTATTATGTAAGCTTTAGATTTCATTCTACTTGAATTATTTATCTAAGGTATATAGAGTAATTTTTCTGGTAAATTGAAAATAAGATTCTATATATTCTGATCTCTGAAATGAATTATATATCCCTCTGTAATAGTATAACATAGTTTTTATAGCTGTAAATTAAATGAGAAATTAGTGGGCCAGCACAGTGGCTCATGCCTGTAATCCCAGCACTTTGGGAGGCTGAGGCCAGAGGATCGCTTGAAAACAGTGGCTCAAGATCAGCCTGGGTAATGAAGTGAGACACTGCCTGCACATTAAAAATAATAGTGAAAGTATTTTGTGTGGATTGTCTTTAAGTCTGTGTGTGGAGTGGGGTGGAGATGGGTTGTTTGTTTTTGAGAGAGTCGATCTGTCATCCAGGCTGGGGTGTTAGTGTTCTTAAGTTTTGAAATATGTATGCATATTTTTGTATCAAAACACATAAAAGCATAAATACTTTAAGAATTTCAATGCAATTTTGCTTCCAAATTATATGCTAATTTTTATTATGTATTTTGCATATTATGTATAGTTTAATCTTTGAAAGTTATTGAATATGTATTTGATTTAATTTGATCTTCCCTTATATTCTCACATTTTTGATACCTTTTGTGCAGCTGTGCTACAAAATCTAATGCATCTGAAAATTTTTATAATAACTGAACTTTTCACATTTTATGGCTAATTCTGCCTTTTAACCTTTTCCTTGATCCTCTATGAACAATTTAGTGTAACATTTAATTATAATTACCAGAACACAACAAAACATGAAAATGAAGTTAAATGTAGGATATTACATTTTTGTGTTCAAATAGTTTCAATTTTTAATTTAATATCTGATTATTTTGTGAGAATTAAATGTACAATTACATGTAAATAGAACCTTCAAATACATAGATTAACAATTAAAAAAACACTTGTTGTCATGACATGCAAACCCCAAGAGCAGGCCTGTTATATATGATTTTTTTAAATGTCTATGATTTTTATTAGTAACATTTTATAAATGCATTATGGGGTAATGTATTCTTTAATTACCTACATTTTACCATTCCACAACATATACATACCTCAAAACATCATACTGTAAATTATAAAAACACTTATGTGACAGTTAAAAAAATAAATTGTGATACACACACACAAACATAGAGAGACAGACAGAATGGCGTACTATTCAGCCTGAAAAAACAAAGAAATCCTGCCATTTGAAACAACATAGGTAAATCTGGAGGACATTATGCTAAGTGAAATAAGCCAGACACAGAGAGAAAAATAGTGCATGATCTCACTTATATGTGGAATCTAAAACAGTACATCTCTTAGAAGCAGAGAGCAAACAGTTGTTATGAAGAATGAGGAGGTGGGAAAATGGGGAAATTTTGGGCAAAAAGCACAAAGTTGCAGCTATGTAGGATGAATAAGTCTAGATGTCTAATGTAAAGTAATCATTTCACTATGTATATGTCTATAAAAAATTGTGTTGTATACGCTAAATATGCCCAATTTTATTAAAAATAACTTTTTTTAAAAAAAAGTTTAAATGTTTATATACTGCTAGATGGCAGGTGGGTGGAAATTATATAGCTACATCAGGGGTAGTCTACGTTATGAGAGAACAAGTTCTCCAGACGGATGGTTTGCTGAGTTAGTGTTTCTCAAGGATATATTCCAGACATACTTTTCCTTACAGCCAACGTGGAATAAAAGTCCAACTTTTTGTTTGAGACAGAGTCTCACTCTTGTCGCCTAGTCTAGAGTGAAATGGCACGATCCCAGCTCACTGCAAACTCCGCCTCCTGGGTTCAAGTGATTCTTCTGCCTCAGCCTCCCGAGTAGCTGGGATTACAGACACACAACACCACGCCCTGCTAATTTTTGTATTTTTAGTAGAGACGGGGTTTCGCCATGTTGGCCAGGCTGGTCTCAAACTCCCAACCTCAGATGATCCGCCCACCTTGGCCTCCCAAAGTGCTGGGATTACAGGCTTGAGCCACCGCATCTGGCCAGAAGTCCAATTTTCCTATAGCAGTCAGAATTAATCACCCTGGCCTGCACAGTAACTCTCTTCTTTGTCTGTTTATTCAGAGGCATGAGGAGTCCAAAGTGGCCATATGGCAGTCTTAACTTCCATTTCAATGGAATAATTGTTGTGTCTCCTGGTGGAAGCATTCTCCTTTTTGGAACTAACGGATTTAGGCCAGCAGAGCACAAGGTCACAGAAACAGGAAGTAAGCATTTTGCTACTGGGTCAGTAGGAGTAACAGTGAGTGGTACCACTTTCATTTCCACTCTCTAAATGTTGGACCGTGAATCATATACATGAAGCATATACAGCCTTCTAGAGAACATTTTCCCAGCCCTTCAAGATGTTGCCACCTAGCTGGTACTGTAACCAGCTCTTCAAAACACAATTTCACTGTTTTATCAAACCACTTACTTCAGGTTGATGGGAAGACATGGAAACACTGGTGAAATCTATGAGTGTGGTTTCACTGCCACACTTCATTTGCCATGAAGTGAATTCCTTAGAATCAATGTTGTGTGAAATACCATGATGATAGAAATGTATTCTGTAAGCCCATGAATGGTAGTTCTAGCAGAAGGATTGCATGTAGGGAATACAAATCCACATCCAAAGTATCTAATATAGCAAGAACAAAATGCTGCCTCTTTTATGACAGAAGTGTCTCATGTTATTAACTTGCCATCAGAAAGCTGGCTGATCACCTTTGAGTGTCATGTGAGGGCCTCAGTGTTTATCGTTGCTGCTGGCAAATTGAGCACTGAGCGATGGCTTTAGCCAGGTCAACCATGGTGACTGGAAGTCCACGTTGCTGGGCCCATGCATAATTTCCATCCTTGCCACCATGGCCACTTTTTCTAAACTGATTTTTTTTTTTTTCAATTTTACTTTAAGTTCTGGGATACATGTGCTGAACATGCAGGTTTGTTACATAGGTATACATGTGCCATGGTGGTTTCTAAACCCATTTTAAAGTCATATGTTGAAAGCATTTGAAGATAGGGCTCAATGAAACCACTGAGAAGTCACTGAAAAAACTGGGGAATCATGACTGGTATCCATAGAAAAAGTCATCCTATCAACTTGATTATTGTAATCATCCTCTGCAGAGGTCACTGTTTACCAAGCATCTCAGTGAAAACAAATATTTTCACATTATTTGCCCATTCAGAAAGGTCTATTATACACACCTCTTACCAGACCTCCTCAACACTGATTTTCCAGCCAAGTCACTTCCAAGTGCCTGGCCATCCATTCTAACCGGAAAATTCAACTTAACTCATGATCTGCTAGCCTTCCCAGCCTTCTGATTCCCCTCGCCCACCATCAATTACTCTCACAGTCATCTCTCTAATAAAATCTTTGATTAATCCTGTCTTATTGTTTGTTTCTCAAATAAATTAATCTAACAAAGGTATTGTTAGTGGAGATCAGCAACACAGAGTACGGCATTTGACATGAAATAACTAATCACTGACTCTTTTGTTTTCCATATCCATAAACAGGAAGTATCTAAAGCAGTTTACTTTTAGATGAAATGGACAACAGTATATCTTTACAGTCTTGCCTCATGGCAATGAGTGCTCCTACTTTATCTAACAGAGTAGCTCAGAAGTCTTGATTGTTTTGGAATTTCACAAAATAGCACTCTTGCCCATTTATAAATTATATTCTCTTAATTAGACTACTAATAACATAAGAAATGTCTTAAATGTTCTAGTAATTACATACATGGCAGTGAGTCTGGAGTGTTTTAGTCCATTTTCTTTTGCTATAATTACAAATTACCCTGAGACTGGGTGATTTATAAAGAAAATAAGTTATTTTGGTCTGGTTCCTAGAGACTGAGAAGTCCAAGGTCAGGGAGGCGTATCTGGTGAGAGCCGTGTCCTAACTTAGTGAAGGGTATCACATGGTGAGAGAGCAATAGCATGTCAGTTAGGGCTTTTCTTCCTCTTCTTATAAAACCACCTGTCCCGTTATGGGCCTCATTCTATTGACCTTATCTAATCCTAGTTATCTTCCAATGGCATCAAATCTGATTCCCATTGACATATGATTTGGGGAATTAAGTTTTCAATACATGATATTTACAGAAAAAATCAAACCACGGCAGGTGTAGAACACAAAGATTCAGAGATCAATTGTAAGTAAAATTTTGAGAAGGTCCTTTGGTCCGAAATATCTTAGAATATTTCTTTTCTCTTAAAAGATGCCATCACTCTTCTTATCTCTCATCACCAAGCATAATTCACAGCACTTGATAAGTCTCTTTAGATTTGTAGCTAGCAAACATTTGGAAACACTGCTCCAACCTGTCTTTTTTAGTTTATTCAAAAGGCTGCTTGGCTCACGCCTGTAATCCCTGCGCTTTGGGAGGCCGAGGGGGGTGGATCACGAGGTCAGGAGATTGAGACCATCTTGGCTAACACGGTGAAACCCCGTCTCTACTAAAAAATACAAAAAATTACCTGGGCGTGGTGTCGGGCGCCTGTAGTCCCAGCTACTCAGAAGGCTGAGGCAGGGGAATGGCGTGAACTCGGAAGGCGAAGCTTGCAGTGAGCCCAGATCGCGCCACTGCACTCCAGCCTGGGCGACAGAGCAAGACTCTGTCTCAAAAAACAAAATTAAATTTAAAAAAGACTGCTAATCTTGAGTGGAATCGAAATAACGAGAGGGCACTGCATAAAGTCCAGGTGGCAGTATAAGCTTCTCTAAAACTCAACCCAAATAATTCAGTATATTTTATAAAGCTATAGGAATCGGTGTTGGAACAGGAGTGTGTGGAGTTTTGGGTAGCCCAAAGGGATGAGTCCCTAGGTTTCTGGAGAAAGGTTAAGCAATTTTCTCCTTCTCATCACTTAAAAATTTCCATGTCTGTTACTGGACCATAGTAAAAACTAAGTGTCAGTCCATGGGACAGAATGACTTTCAATGAGGTGCATGTCCTTAGGTACATAAAGGTTAGTCAATCTCAGCAACAACCTCTTGTGGCCTAGGAGTAGTATATTCTGGTTAACCCCAAGTAACTCTAGAAAGCATTATAAATTACAGACACCTATATCACCTCCCTAACTCACACTATATTCACAAAAGGAGTTTCCTTATGACTAATTAATGGTAGAGAAATATACTGGGGTATGACTCACGTATGGGTTGGTTTATGGTAGCACTATTGAAAACTGCACATCTTCTTCATTATAGGCCCACACAGGACAGCCCAGTAACATGATGGAGAACAGAAATCCTTTCAGAGGATAGATCTCTGAGCACTAAATTGATCACACCTTTCAACAGAACAGATGACATACCTTTTAAAAGTCATCCAGTTTCTCTTCAGGTCACCCCAGTGTTAGCACAGAAAAGTCATAAATGTCATGGTGGCACAAAAGGTTATGCACAGGCCCAATAATACAGATGCCTTCTCATCCAAAATGATCTAGTTATTTCCACTAGTCTATGTCTGACTTGCCAGTATAATTGGACGCTGTCTTTGCTATCACACTGTTACTCAGGGAGACCGGGCATACACCTATTACAATCAAATGCATTGACACAAAATGAAAGTCATTCATCCATAGTAGACATGATAAACTGTGTAGATATGGGTTTGATTTTCCACACATGGGACCTCCCTAAACAGCTTTAGTTAAGGGTTACAAAGTAACACATCCATCAACATGATAATCCATACAACATTGTCTGAAATTAAGAAGCTCATTTTATGGCAAAGGAGTTGGTTCAATAGGCTCACGACTATTGGATTCACTGGTTGTGCCATGTGAAATAGCCTAGGATCAGTTTTTAAAAACTATTAACTGAATGGCTGAAAGTGTTACTAAGGTATCAGCTCGAGCACTATACTTTCAGTGTTGAGAAACTGTCCTTCTGGTAACAGCACATATGTTGAAACAATGGCCAATATAATGAGATTGTAACTTAATATGAATTGAGAAAATAAAGGTGAAAGTAGAAATAATTTATATTTCAAAATGTCCATATTGTGGAATTCTCTCCTCACAAACTCAGTCTCTGTTTCTGATTGTTAGGAGCAACATTTCTCCAAGGGGAACACAGAAAAAAATTTCACTGAAATAGAATTGATAACTACAATCTACCAACTAGGTTCTAATGCTATTGATAAGCAGACAAAATGTATTTGCTGTGCAGGCTGGGTGTCCTGGTTACAATGAGGATCTATGATGGATGTTATCTACTATGGTTTGAATGTCTGTTGCGTTGAAATTTAATTGCTGTTGTAACACAATTAAGAGGTAGGACTTTTAAGAGTTGATTAGGCTATGAGGGCTCTACCCTCCTGAGAGGAATGGGTTCCTTTGTAAAAAAGTAACTTGACCCCCTCTTGCCGTCTCTCACCCTCTTGCCTTCTGCCATGTCATGGCCCAGCAAGAAGGCCCTTGACAAATTCCAGTGTCTTGATATTGAACTTCTCTGTCTCCTGAACTATGAGCCAATATATTTCCATTCATTATAAATTACCTAGTCTCGACTATTCTGTTATAGCAGCACAAAACGGACTAAGACACTAACCAATCAATTGGGGAAATTTATTTACATATAAAGTAAAGAGAAGTCACTCATTATTCCATGTTCCTTGAAAATTCTTTATGGAAATTTCAATAATAAACCAATAAGAACATGGTAATTAAAGATTCAGACCCTTAAGAAATAAACTTCTAGGTTTCTTTTCTTGGCAAGCTCTGAGACAAGCTAAAGTCTTTTGCAAATTTTCAGAAATCTAGAATGGATGATTCAAGAGAAAGATAAGAAATATCAATTAATTGCTCAAGAGGAGATGCAGAAGCAAGTATTACAGATGACTTCTTTAACCGTTTTAAGTTCTCTAGAAGATCAAAATTAACCGCCATCTTGAAGTGGATATTATGACTGATTAGGCTTTAGATTTCCTCTTGGGGGCTTGCTATTCTTAAAAAAAAAAATAGTATGGGATCTTGGCATAATGAAAGGACATTTCAAGCAATTGTGAATGTTGCAAGGAGTGACACATTTTAAGCTTTACCTAAAATTATCTCAACCTTATGATGTTCTGGCTTTTGGATGCTTACTTCCTCATAATTCTGTGTAAGTAACCACTCTGTTGAGGCCTATATGCTTGTATCACCTAAAGCAAATATCTGGAGTCTCTGGGCTCAGATGAATTACCAAAGAATGTGAAGAAAGATCTGGCTTCCCAGAAGCTGCTTAAGATACCAGGTGATACAATTCAGAAGTACAGGAGAACTAAAATCCCCTAGAACAAACTTTGACAGATGAAACACAGGACACCAGAGGAAGTTGATTAATAAATTGCCTGTCTATTACTCCCCCTGAAGCAATAATTTCTTATATACGTTTTCCTCAGAGTTGTCTTGTAAGCATGAAACACATGTTCTTCATGAAATATCAACCAGCCTGATAACACATTATTATGGACTGAATGTTTGTGTCCACCCCAAATTAACATGTTGATATCATAATGCCAGGACGAAGGTATTAAGTGTTGGGCCTTTGTGATTAAATCATGATGTAATAATCATTACAGCCCTCATGAATGGGATTAATGCCTTTATGAAAGAGACCCCAGAGAGCTCCCTTGCTCTTTCCATCATGTGAGGACACAGTGAGAATGCTGTCTATGAATGAGGAAGCAGACCCTCACTAGAACCCAATAATGTTGGCATTTTGATCTTGGAATTCCAGCCTCTAGAAGTAGGAAAAATAATTTTCTGTTGTTTAGAAGCCATCCAATTTATGGTACTTAGTTATATCAGCTCAAAATGATGAAGAAAATATTATCTTTTGTTTGCTTTTTACATTTGCCTGCCTGTCTCATATTTTTATTGTTATTGTTTTTGTCTCAGCCTTGGGATTGTATCCTATAATAAATCATTAAAATCAATCTCAGGTTTTTGTTTTTATAAAGAAACTAAGATTAATATAATGAGATAATCAACAGTGAGCTTACCATTTGTCAGTCAGTAATTTAAATGGGAAGATATTCCCAATTATTTTGCTTGGTAGCCTACTTGGTGAAACTTCTAGAGAGAGCAATTTCTCAGTGTCTATCAAACTCTAAATTCACATACTCTTTGACCCAGCTCCAAAGTAGGAGTCAGCAAACAATGGCCTGTGGGACTCCAAATTCAGCCCACCACCTGTCTTTGTAAATACAGTTTTTCAAAATGCAGTAATGCACATTAGTTTAAGTATTGTCTATGACTTCTAAGCTACAAGATCAGGATTGTGTCAAAGATTGCATGGCTTAAAGAGTCTAAAATATCTATCTAGACTTAACAGAAATGCTGGTGGACCCCTGGCTTAAATGTCAACAGTTATTATTATTTAAAAAAGCTTATAAAAACATAATTTTTGTATCATTCCAAGAATTAAACTGGATTCATACTCTGTTTTTCATGACTCATTTTTTTCTTATAATAAAATATACCTGCCATCTTGACAAAATCATTTAGTTAACCTCAGTCAAGTTACTAAACTGCTTTACACCTCAGTTTATGAAAGGGAATGTGGAAAGACAACATATATTTCCACTGAATTTGAAAGGACATCATGTATGTAGAGTGTTTAGGAATGGCCAAAAGTTTTTAGGGCCATTCGGTCTGCATACTTTTTGTTCCTTGTGCTTGCACTTAAAAATATGAAGTCCCATATTTTTCTCTTTAAATAATTCCAATAAACATATTTTTCTAGAAAAATAAAGAATCTAAATTGCCTACAAAATTTTAATATGATAGTTAATATAATCACTCGCTCCTATAAGAAAAATAGTAATAGATTAAAGAATTTTCTGTATTTAGATCTCCTTTACAGTAGAAATATAAATGAATAATCTGTGTTTTTTACGGCACAATGGAAAGTGTGGATGACCTTACTGAAATTTAATTATTCAGTGCTTTTAAAACTCTTTGATCCATGATACCTTATGACCTCTGATCAGGAAATAAGGAATGCCACAGAGTTCAGGATAGGAAATTTTATAGAAATTAATGTTCTCCCGGCAAGAGGGAAATAAACAGGCATTTATCTCTTAAAGGAAATGGCTTTAAGAGGCAATACCTATGTTAACATCATTGTATTTGCCACATTTATCATGGCATGAGTTATAAAGAAAACGCTTCATAAATGTTTTTCAATAACTGAATGAATACATGAGTGAAATACAAAGGTCTATGTTATGTTCAGCATTCGGGATTCTGGGATTAAATGGAACATGAGGCAAGAAAGAAGATACAGTGTGGCCTCATTATAATCTGACAGAACCAGAGAGGTATAACTAACTGAAAGCCCAATCCCCAAAGTCAGACTACATGAAAGGAAACATTCAAGTCCTAGTATGCACATAGGAGCCTTTGTTCAGAGTTTTAAATGGATAGGGAGATCCCTATGAGCAGCATAAATATTAAAGTCAAGGCAGAATCTATTTCCTCTTCATTTTATGCACGCTGCTCAGTGTGGGCAAACACGGTTGGTATGAATTTGTGGACTGGGTGCCAGAGCTGGGAGCAGTAATCAACAGGTGCCCACAGATGCTGATTGAAAGATAGAAAACAGCTAAAATAGATTTGAGCTATCTAATTAGGAGCCACCATAAGAAGCAACTGACACATTAACCTTTTGTTTCATCGGTAATATATAGAACATCTTGATTTTTAAAACATCTTTCATTAACCTAATTCACAAGATCTGGTTGGTGATGTAAATTCTTTGAACCTAGAAGGGAATTTGTTAACTCTGTGTAAGTTACTGTGTGATGTGGATAATATACGTTAAAATTCTTATAATTATACTAGGCACTTATTAAACACTCTACATATGTAAATTATTGTTGTTATTATTTCTATTGCTGTTATAGAAAATGTATAAAAATGAAATATGAATATTTTAAATACTTTAAAAGGTGGTGTTTTTTATTTTAATTTAAACAATTATTGAACTCAACTACCTGCTAAATTATATATAATCATATGCTTAACAAATTTTTTAAAATTAAAACAAAAATCTAAGATTATAACCAGTATTATACCTCTACATGTAAGAAAGTCTATATTTACTCTGGTACGTATTTTAAAGCCTTCATATTTCTATTCAATCTGAATGATCTCAAGTCATAATATTTTTCTTTGATCCAAAATTGTTTGATATCCATATTATGGTACATGATGTTAGAATACTTGTTTTGTTCTGCCATGGGCTGGTGAATTAATTATGTCTAATTCTTCTTGTTCTGACTTAGCCTTTCTTCAAGATTAGATCAAAACATTATTACAGCTACAGTCCCTGATGCATTATTAGTTCAAGAAGCAATGTAATATCACATTTGTTACTGTTTTATCAAGCTAGGTATAAAAATTGCTTTACGTTTAAAGGGGAAAAAGTGAAAATTCCAGCAAAGCAGCCTCGATTTCACACCAGGACAATCAGGAATATTTTCTCACTTTTGCTGTCCTGGAGCACAGGTCTGACAAATAACAGAGATTAGAAATGATTCTAATGCTTCCCTTTCCCACATTCCCTAGATGGATATGTACTAAAAAGCTTTAGAGTAAACATTACCAACAGAAAAAAAATATGGCAAGTATGTTTTTAGATAAACTAAAGGGTATAATCTCTACTTCTGCTTTCTGAAGTTTCCACTTTTATACTGTTGGTGAGAGTGTAAACTAGTTCAACTATCCTTTTTAATGAAGTTTGTTTTAGGATCTTTAAAAATATCTCTACAATTTATTGTAATTGCTTCCTCAATTTTAACTTTGCAATTGTCGATTTTATAGATTTTTAATAATAAAAAAGGATAAATTTTGTTTTTAATTAAAAATATGTATAAAAATTACTAATATTAGCTGCTTTAAAAGATTGCTAAGCTCTATTTGTGTGTAATTTATTGCCATATTAAATAGAAAATAAGTATTTGTGATCATAATGAACAACACCGATCCCACAGAAATACAAATTACCCTCAGAGAATACTATAAACACCTTTATGGAAATAAACTAGAAAACCTATAAGAAATGGATAAATTCCTGGACACATACACCCTCCCAAGACTAAATCAGGAAGAAGTTGAATCTCTGAATAGACCAATAACAGGTTCTGAAATTGAGGCAATAATTAACAGCCTACCAACCAAAAAAAAGTCCAGGCCCAGACGGATTCACAGCAGAATTCTACCACAGGTACCAAGAGGAGCTGGTACCATTCCTTCTGAAACTACCCCAATCAATAGAAAAAGAGGGAATCCTTCTTAACCCATTTTATGAGGCCAGCATCATCCTGATACCAAAGCCTGGGAGAGACACAATAAAAAAAGAGAATTTTAGACCAATATCCCTGATGAATATCCCTAATGTGGTGGTACTGAGAGATGTGAATTGGGGGAGATGATTAGGTTAGAGGCCTCTGTCCTAATGAATAAGTGCCTTTATAAAAGAGTCCCAAAGGAGCTTGTTCACCCATTCAGCAATATGAGGACACATAGAAGATGCCATCTATAAGAAACAGGCTTTCACCACATATGGAGTCTGCTGGCACCTTGATCTTGAATTTCTCAGCCTCTAGAACTGAAAAAAATACATTTCTGTTGTTTATAAGCCACCCAATTTATGTCATTTTAGTACAGCAGCCTGAATAGACTAAGACACTCACTCTGGCAGAAGTTATTGATGATATTGCCTTTGTCCGAGGTAGAAACACAGATCAATCTCAACTCATTGGCATGGGTAGTGATAGACAATAACATTACCCTAATTTTTTTTTTTGTCTTTTAGTCATCCTGGTGTCTGTGCCATTGCTCATACTTCTTGTACTTGGATCAAAGAAACAAGCAAGTTGGAACTATTTATATATTGTTTTAAAGTATAAGCTATTTGGCTCTCTAAGGTTAATCTTCATGGTCTATCAAATTTGTTATTTTGGCCTTGATTTGGCAATTGAGGTTCCTAGTTCCAAATCACCTTATAGGAACTATTAATCATTCTGGCTTTGTGAGAGAGGCATGATGCTGCGTGCTATCTAGATTTTTAAAAGGTTCTGCACATCTGCTCTCTAGTCAGAAAATCACTATGATAATACAACAAAAAGGTCAAGAATATTTTGTAATACAGTTTTATATGAAGTTTACTGAATAATCTCTGAGTGGTAAAGAGCTGGATTTGCAGCTTTCCTTAAATTGGCTAACCTCTTGAAAGTAAGAGAATGACCAAAAGGGGTGACTATGAGCCGGAATATACAAACACAATGGCCAGACCATATATGAAAGTAGAGCTCTGACCCACCTCTGCAGCAACCAGTCCAGAAAGCCAAAAAACAACCCCATAGCAACTAGCTGAAAAACAGCCAGCACTTCATTGACTGACGGCTTCCTTAATTTTTGCGTCTGCTTGCAACTTAGGACCAAATGAAGAAAGTCAAATATGCACACATAACCAATCACATTGGATGTCCTGGTTCTAGTTAGCTTATCTACAGCTTCTCCATGGCAACAGCCTCCAATCAGGGCACAACCGAAGCCTTCCCCTTTTTCCACCGTAAAGCTTCACACTCCACTGCCTGCCTTTAAGTCTTTGCCAAATACAAGTGATAATTCCTGACTCCATTGCTCTGAATAAACAACTTTTACTTCTCATTTGGGTGGTTTATGTTTATTTCTACACTCATTTACCTGATTTAGCTGCTGCTGGAAAACACGATGTTTCTGTTTTCACATTTCAAATATTCTTTTACACGCATCTCATTGAATGAAAAATCATACTGATGAGAGACAGTCTGGAAAATGTGCTTGTATTAGTCAGGGTTCTCCAGGAAAACAAAAGCAATAGGAGATATTTTGTTAGTTACTATAAGGAATTGGCTCCTCCAGTTATGGAGGCCAGCAAATCCCAAGATCTGTAGGGTGAGTCAGTAAACTGGAGACCCAGGATAGCTGATGTTTTAATCTCAGTCTGAGTCTGAAGGCCTGAGAACCAGGAATGCCCATGTAGTTCCAGTCTAAAGGTCAGTGGCCTTGGGACCCAGAAAGAGCTTGATATGGTTTGGCTGTGTCCCCACTCAAATTTCATCTTGAATTTTAGCTCCCATAATTCCCATTTTGTTTTGGGAGGAACCCAGTGGGAGGTAATTGAATCATGGGGGCAGGTCTTTCCGGTGCTGTTCTCATGGTAGTGAATAAGTCTCACGAGATCTGATGGTTTTATAGATGGGAGTTCCCCTGCACAAGCCCTCTTGCCTGCTGCCATGTAAGATGTGATTTTGCTTCTCCTTTGCCTTCTGCCATGATTATGAGGCCTCTCCAGCCATGTGGAAGTGTGAGTCCTTTAAACTTTCTTCCTTTATAAATTACCCAGTCTCAGGTATGTCTTTATTAGTAGCATGAGAACAGACTAACATAGAGCTGATATTTTAGTTTAAGTCTAAAGGCAGAAGAAAGGCCAATATTCCAGTCTGAAGGCTGTTACCAGAGGATTCTGTTCCTTACTCAGCGATGTCAAACTTTTTGTTCTATTCATGCCTTCAACTGATTAAATGATGCCCACCCACATTAGGAAAGGCCATCTGTTTTACTCAGTTTATCACTTTAAATGTTAATTTCACTTAAAAACACCCTCACAGAAACACCCAGAATAATGTTGGCCCAAGTATCTGAGCAGCCCAGGGCATAGTTAAGTTGACATGTAAAATCAACCATCACAGTAATATACAGGTGTCTAGCCCCTACCACACAGAAAAGAGTGGAAACAGTGCTATCAACGGACAATATAAAGCAGGAAGTCAAATTATCTGAGATAAGGAAAAAGAGGAAATCATGGAAGAAATTTAAATGTGGTGACGTGATGATGAATTTACTTCAGATACATTTAATTTGAGATAGAATGATACATTCAAGTAAATATGGGGAAGAAGACAATGACACTAAATAGATAAATTTGAGAATCATACGACTATAGAAGACAAGCAAAGCATGGTGATAGGAGAGATACCTTGTTAAAGACTATAGTTAAATAAAAAAATAGCACCGAGACCTGAGTTCTGAGAAATTCTAGTATTTAGAGACCAGATAGGAAGATAATATAGGGCAAGTGGTTGAGAAGGAGTAGCAGAGATTTTTTTTTTTTTTCAGGTAGACAGGGAATAAAGTGTCTTGAAAAACAAATAGAGGAAATGTTTACAAAATCTAGGTGACACCTTTATCAAATGGTACTGGGGAGACTAATAAGTTGAATGAATATTAACAATTATGTTTCACAACATGGAGGTAATTACTGGAGTTATCAAGGGCTGTTTCTTTAGAGTAGTTCAAGAAAAAGCCAGCCTGATGTGGTTTGCAGAGCCTTCAAACTTCTGGTTTTAATGCTATAGTGCACTAGCTATTTGGATAATATCTAAAAATGCTAGAAAAATGTGATAGTAATATTTTTTACATGCTTGTCTGAGATGGTGTAAAACAGAAGAAAGTAGTGAAGGCCAGAAATCAAACAAAAATTAGATAAGACCTCAACAAAGAAAAGGATAATAAACCCTTATAAAAGACATAAAGCATGCACAACCCTTTGGGGAGATATAATATGCTTGTGGGCAGAAAGACTCAATATTGTCAGGTTGTTAAACGTCTCTAAATTAACCTATAAATTTCAATCCAAGGCACCCAAAATAAAAATCACAATTGGACTTTTTTCATAGAAACTGAGAATATTATTCTTAAACTCATACGGCAACGCTAATAACTAAGAATTACTAAAACAAGTTTTATAACTAAACAGATGTGTATTGATGTATGTAGCCACATATGAATACATGGACATAGAATGAGTTCATGTCCCTTGCAGGGACAGGGATGAAGCTAGAAACCATCATTCTCAGCAAACTAACTCATGAAGAGAAAAACAAACACTGCATGTTCTCACTCATAAGTGGGAGTTGAACAGTGAGAACACACGGATACAGGGAGGGGAACATCACACACTGGTGCCTGTCAGGGGGCAGGGGGCAAGGGGATGAATAGCAATAGGAGAAATACCTAATGTAGATGATGGGTTGATGGGTGCAGCAAACCAACATGGCACATGTATACCTATGTAACAAACCTCCAAGTTCTGCACATGTATCCCCTAACTTAAAGTATAATAATAAAAAATCATGCTATGTGGAATATCATACCCTTCAAGTATGTGTATATGTAAATTAAACCCTAAACATTAAACATTTCCTAAGATTTATATACATTTATGCATAAACAATAATTAAATAAGACTTGTTTATGTATACATAACACACTTGTTATGTTTATATATAACATGCACACACACACATATATTTATATATACAGAGAGAGAAAGAGAGAGAGATCTGGGAGGATAAACATTAAATTATGAATGTATTTACTATTAGTTGGAAAATCAAAAATTCATTTCAAAAGAAAACAGAAATTAAAGAAACAGACACTGAAGACTAATGGATACTTTAAGATGATTGTCTCTGATAAAAATTATTGCTACCAGAAAAGACTTGCAGATATGCAAAATACTAGAACACGCTTGAATATTCATCGGATGAGCCATTAGCATGGGACAGCTGGAGAAACAGAAGATGAATAATGGAAGAATCAAAATCCAGGAAATATGAAGACAGATTGGACTTTGCTGATAGCAGGATCCCTGCAGTAAGTGCTGATGCTGAGAGGATTTTCAAATTAGTATTGAGAATGATTAAGAGTCAAACTCTTTGGTCAGGCTGAGTCTGAATCTGAATTTCCTGCTTTGCCTCTTAGTAGCTGTGTAAGCCTGGGAAAGTTACTTACACCTTTCTGTGTGTCAATTTCCTCATTTTATTAAATAGCAATAAAAAATATAACTTGATTAGGTGAGTTGTTAAGAAGACCAATAAAATGTACTTTAAAGAGTTTCTAGCAAAATAAGTGTTTAATATTGGTGGACAATTATTACAATCCTTTGTTTTCCACAATAAATGGTAAGGATATAAGTTGAAAGAAAAGGTAAATGTCTTTAGGAGAATTAAGAAAGCAAGAAGAGTGGCTGAAGGAAATAATAAAGAATAATAATAAGGAAATATAGTTTGATTGTTGGACAGTTCCAAGGGTCCAATAAAGGTTGTCAATTGAGAATCTATATTTTAACAAACTGTCTTGGCATTACATTATCATACTTATGCACAGAAAAAGATGGTTACAGGTATCCAGGACATACTTATATTTAGCATTCCCTTTGTACCAGATCCTGTTGTTAAGTGCTTCACAAATATTACCTCATTTAACCCTTAAAAATTGCTATTTGTAAAACAAGTACTTCCAGGTTCACCTTCCTAACAAATAAAACATATATTGAGTATCTCCCAAAAAAAGTAGGTAATTAAGCAGAGAATGTCATGAATAGACCACTGCTATATTTTAATGTTTGAATGGATAATGACCCTTATAATATAATGACCCATTTATCCATTCAAACACTAAAATATAGTCGCAACAATTCTTTCAAAGTTTAAGGAGACTTTTTTGTTTGAAACCCTTCCATGACTCCTCCTAGTATTCAAAATTCCATACCATAATAAGCCTTACAAACCCTACATGATCTGGCATCCTGCTAAGTCTCTGACCTCACCCCCCTGCCTTCACTCACTGCATTCCAGCCATACTAGTGTTGCTACACCTTGAGTATTGCAAAGATATATGCCATCCTCAGGGACTGAAAACACAATTTCTGTTAATATTCTGGCAACAAGTTTAATGCAGTTAAAGCATAAGTGAACTAAATGGAAATTAATAAAAAGAAATAGAGAGCTTATTAGAATAATTATGTCTTTAAGGTAAATTATTCTCCATTGTATTTAAAGTGTTTATTATTTTATTGCACTGCAAAATATATAAACTCTGCAGATTAAAGAATATCTAACTGGAAATTGCATTAATTCTGCTTCTCCAGTCTTGTAGCTGGTGCACAAAAATATGCATCATTGCATCACTAAGGAGATTCAATAATTTCCAAAATTATTTGACCTCAGAACACATCTCATAGAATAATATTTCTCAGAAACATTTTTGGAAATGCACTAGGAGACGAAGTTCTTCTGCCATCTTTGTTCCTTACTTTGATTTAAATTATAACACTACATAAGCCAAAGACATAGTTCTCATTCAGTAAAATTTCCTAAAACAAACTTATAGAAGACTAATCAGATAGCAATTTCTGAGAAAGCTATGATATACAATATAAATATATTGGACCGATTCATTGAGAATGATTAGAATTAAACAGAATGATAACACTCAACATAGTTTATAATGAATCACATTTGCAAATCATGACATTATAATAATACTCCGAATCACCATGCTAATTTAGACAGGTAGGCATATATCCTTAAAATGGTTCTTATATATATCAAATATGTGTTGTATTTCTAGCTACTAAGAATGACATAAAACAAATGTTTGAAAGTATATCACGGTCTGATGAAGCTTCGTTTTCAATATAAATAAATATTACAGCAGTTTGCTTTAAAAAATTTAGATGAAAACTATGTTCTTTGAAGTAAAATTGATGAGTGAAAAGTTTCAATCTTGAAAGTATTAAAAATATTCATGAACTGTCTACTGATCGAATTCTCTCTGAAGTATAGTCCTTCAAACACCTTCTGTCATGCATTTCATCCAACCAGATGTGTAAGCTCAAGACCATGAAAAGAAAGGGAGAAAGCTCATAATGCTTTGCTGCCACTATAGCACGCAGCCATCTGTGAAGCCTTGTTTTAACATTATTGCTTCAGTGGGTGTTTATCTTTGCATAAAAAAGTTTAGACTGATATATTCCCATGTCTTTGCACACACTAAACACTTACATTTGTAGTAAAGGGGAATCTTATTTTAGTTTTTAACAGAATCGTAAATCCAGAAGGGACATAAGAGAAGAGCTGGGTTTAGATGGAAGTTTTCTGTCCCCAGCTCAATGCTTTCTCCATTAAGCCATCATTCCAATGATACCAAGCACATTGTATTCTAAGAAAATGGAACAAACTCTCTAACCTGCCCCACTATCTAGTTTTAGTGGCATAAATACTTTGTGGGCAACAAAGGAAATGAAATAAAGAGGGTGAGGAGAAAGGGGAGGCATCAAAATTCAGAGCTGATGCTTTAGAACCTCTTCAGCAATGCCATATTTGTTAAATGCAAGCAGATAAAAACATGCCACATTTTAAAGCCAATTTGTGCCTCTAGAGACAAGAATTATAAAGTCTATTGATCAGAATGAGGTAATGTTAGAAGGGAATTAATTATTTTAGCTGATGCCAAATATACATAAAATTCTTAGCATACTTTTAAATACCAATATTAAAGCAAAATTAATGTGAGCACATACTTTTATATAGTAGGAAGCAATATTCTTTTAAAACTTAGAGAAAGGTGGCCGGGTGCGGTGGCTCACGCCTGTAATCCCAGCACTTTGGGAGGCCGAGGCGGGCAGATTACCTGAGGTCAGGAGTTCGAGACCAGCCTGACTAACATGGTGAAACCCCGTCTCTACTAAAAATACAAAAAAAAATTAGTCGAGTGTAGTGGTGGGCACCTGTGATCTCAGCTACCAGGGAGGCTGAGGCAGGAGAATCGCTTGAATCCGGGAAGCGGAGGTAGCAGTGAGCCGAGATCACGCCATTGCACACTCCAACCTAGGCAACAGTGCGAGACTCTATCTCAAAAAAATTAGAGAAAGGTAATTAAAAATCACTACCATAAAACTGACATAAGTATCACAATTTTTATTTTTATTTAGTACTTATATTTATTCCTTCATTTTAGTAAATAAAATTGCCTATATAGTTTGCATAAATTTATTCACATCTTCAATCTTGCTGACACTTTTTTTCCTGTTGGCCTCATATTCCTTTTCTGCAAATTTTCTCACAGCAAAATCTGGAAATATAGCCCTTAAAGTTAGGTGGTGCCACTTTATCACACAAATGTACATTAAATAGTTCAAAACTATGTTCCTTTAATCTAATATACAAATTGTATACTGATTGTAAGAGATTCTGAGTTAATTTAAACATTGCGATTAATAGTGTATAACCACTGATGAGTAAGACTCTTTGTTGAAGTAAACAAGTTTGATTTCAGAGATTATTGAATTTTACGAACATTTGTTCATGAATCAATATTTGGCCATTATGTAAGTTGTATTTTTTTAGAAGATTAATTGAGCTGATTAAGCCATCTTGTTTAAACTGAATTTGGAGGTTAATTCTGAATCTCTTGTGTTTCAAAATCACAACAATGTTATCCATTATTTTGTTATAATCCAGACTATATTTTAACACATCTTTCAACTTAATTGCTAATTTAATTTGAATTTTAAATATTAACTTTCCCATCAAAAAAACTTTATCTGCCTTTCCAAGATTTAATCACTAGATGCATAACATTTTTCCCCAAGGGTTGATACAAGCTGTCTTACAAATTAGCCTACCCTTGTCCCATGTGGATAATAGTGTATTTATTAGAAACTATGGTCAGATCTTGTATGCTGCCCAACAATACTGCTTTAAATAGATATATAAGCTATCTCTTTGCTCAAAATGAAGATGTGTTCCAATAAGATTCCTTTGATGAATGCCTACAGAACATTTAAGAAATGAGTGATTGTATATTAGCCAAGTGCTCACCATCACGGAGGATGGAATGCAATTACCTGGGAACCTGGAATGATAGAAGGTTTGATTTTCTAATAAGCTAGAAGGCTAGTAAAGCATAAAATTTCTAGCATGGTTGGAAAGCTTAAAGAGAGCTTACACAAATCAAATTAATAACATTTAAATACAAATACATTAATGTGCAAGGAATTGACTGCACACTTTGCAAATATTTAACTTCATTTATTCTAAATATACAGATAGATTTGACTTTTTAGCAGTTTTCATTGAGTAGTTTATGAATTCTAAGATTATTTCCAACTATGGGATTATTTCCAGGCACTTCTTTATTCCTAATTGGTTTTAAATACATTACAAAAAATATTTCATAAAATCAACTAGATATAGTAGGCATCTATCTTCCAATAATAGCTAGATTTGACTCAGACTTGATAGTTTACAAAGTATTTTACAATATACCATTAAATTTGTATTTGAGTGAACATTGTATAACCACCAGTCTATCGAATTTTAAAATACCTAATATTCTTTTCCAAATAGTATTTCATATGGAGATTTTTCAAAAAAATAACTGTGGCTATGGATAACAATAGAATGTGTGTGTGTGTGTGTGTGTGTGTGTGTGTGTGTGTTATGTTTGGAAACACTAAGGATATGTGTCAACACCAATCATATGTTCACTGTATTAAAAAATTAGAATATTTGGTCTTGACAGCAACCTCGGTCATATTCCAAATTCCATTTTTTATTATGCTTGAAGATTAAAAGCTGATTAATTAGATTTTAAGTTATTTAAGGGATGGCTCAAAGATGATTTATAACCCCAACTCTATTTCAATGACATAAACACCGGCTACTTGATAAACCTTGATATTGGCAACATTAAAAATGACATTGGTAAATACTATTATGAGCAAATCTACCAATGACTTGAATTTTTTTAAAGACATGCATATTTTAAGCATTCAAATATATTTCTACACAAAATATTTATCTGCACTGTTACTTTGATAACATGAATAAAAGCACCAACATTTATACTAACATCTCTCTTCTCTGAACTAATTGCACAAACCACATGAAAAATTAAATTAGACAATTATATAATTAGAATGTGATCACAATTCTCTGTTTTATTTACTTTTATTTATTTATTTAGAGACAGAGTTTCAGTCTTTCACCCAGGCTGGAGAGAAGTGGCGTGATCTCGGCTCACTGCAACATCTGCCCCCCAGGCTCAAGTGATTCTCCTGCTTCAGCCTCCGGAGTAGCTGGGATTATAGGCACTTGCCACCATGCCGGGCTAATTTTTGTATTTTTAGTAGAGACGGGATTTCACCATGTTGGCCAGGCTGGTCAGGATGAACAACCTGCCTCGGCCTCCCAAAATGCCAGGATTACAGATGTGAGCCACTGCACACAGTCAGCTGTTTTTTTACATTATTTTACATTGGTATTTTCCTACTTAACTAATTATGTTTTGCTAAATATTTATATATATTATATAATTATATATGTAAATATATAATATATAAATGTATATTATGTATAAATACATTATATATTATGTATACTATTTATATATTAATTATGTGTGTGTATATATCTATATATATATAAAATTATATTATAGTCCCAATAGTTTTACCATATGGGAATTGATAAAATGTTTATCTCTTCATAGAAAAGGGAATCTCTCAGACCAGGTGTTTTCAAGATTTTGTTGTTTTGCTTTGTAATCACTTCAATCTTTGTTATTCATTAATCTTCTCCCTATGATTTAAAACCATAGTCAGCACTGATTGCACCAGAGTCTACAATTGCTTAAAATTCAGATTTAAGTAGAGTCATGACTATGATATTTTTTGCTTTTGCTCTAACATTGTGAATCACAATTTGTTAGTTTCTAAACCAAAATAACAGATGACTTTGAGTGGAACAATCCTTGCTCCATAAAAATAGTCTGCTGCAGTGAATAGTAATTCGTCAACTTCTCTCTACCATTGCTGGAGTGAAGGGTATGAGGGAGCATAGTAGAGATGGCCTTGCTTTTGAGTTGAGAGTGAAAAATTTCAGTGTGAACACAGAATCAAACTTTCCCACTTATTACTGAAAAAGAGAAAGTGTGTGTGTGTGTGTGTGTGTGTGTGTGAGAGAGAGAGAGACAAAGACAGAGAGAGAGAGAGAAAGAGACCTCTTTACAGACCCTATATGGAAGATCTGTTTTGTTTTGTTTTGTTTTTCCATTTAACTCTTTCATGACCACATGGGTGGCCTTTGGTTTGTAACTTGGATATGGATGTTGTTTGTCATTGCACTTTGTATTTTATAGCAGTAGCTCATTACTCATGAGAACACGTGAAGTTCTTATTGAAAAACAGTTTTTAAAAATTCACTTAAGTCTATTTTGCAGAATGTCATTTTGTGCATATTTTCCAATTTAATAGTTGCATCTGGCCGGTAACTTTGGCTAAAATTATTTTTGGACTAAAGTATCCTGTATATACTGTGATACGGTCTGGCTGTGTTCCCTCCCAAATCTCATCTTCATTTGTAGTTCCAGTTTCCCCCATCTGTTTTCATGATACTGGGTGAGTTATCATAGATCTGATGGTTTTATAAGGGCTTTCCCCCCTTTTGCTCTGCACTTCTCCTTGCTGTCACCATGTGAAGAAGAATGTGTTCACTTCCCCTTCCGCCATGATTGTAAGTTTCCTGAAGCTTCCCCAGCCCTGAAGAACTGTGACACAATTAAACCTCTTTCCTTTATAAATTACCCAGTCTCAGGTATGTCCTTATAGCAGTGTGAGAATGGACTAACATGTGCTGAGTAAAATTTTTAATATAGAGAAAAGTAAAAATAAAAGCCATCAAAACTTTTAAATGTGAAATTTCATGCCAGTGATCTAAACAGTTTGAGAAAATTCTGTCTTGGTGTCTCATTGAGGCAAAAGAATAACTAACATGATTATTTTAATAGATTATTTTGACATAATTCATTCTAACCAAAGTACATGTTTACAAAAATCTTCTTTATAAAATAATTTAAAAGAACTGATAATCACAAGACAGATTACTAATAATTTTTAAAGTTTTATGTAAAAAGTTATTTTATTCAAAAGTATTAAGGCAGTTACTTGGGCAGTGAATCTAATTTTGCTTTAAAAATAACGGAAAATTACATTTTACTGGAAAATAAATTGGGAAAGAGACTTTTCAGTACTCTTACATTCATTAGTTTAAAGAAAGAAGATGTTAAAAAGAAAAAAGTTGCCTCTAAACTAAAAAATTGCCTCAGCTTCCCAAAGTTCTAGAATTACAGGTGCGAGCCACTGTTCCTGGCCTAGATTTTTTTTATTCTGTTTTTTTTTTTTCTCTGATCATTATTGCCTCTAAATATTAAAATAAAATGTTGTTTAGTTAGAATATATGACTGGTTGTGAATAGGTGCTTGGTTTAGTACTACAGATTTTAAATTAGTATTTAGATATTAACCAACATTTTTATACATGTTTATTTTTTAAAGTGATTTTATGGAGCTTGATATGAGTAGCAAAATCACATGGCAATGATCTCAAAATTGAATTTTGTTTTAAGAATCTCATGTCAATATAAATAATCTTTCAACCCATAAATGTCAATGAAGAAAGTGGGATCAAAGAGTATATTATCTGGGTTATGTTATAATTACAAGAGACAGAATTACAACTTGCTGTTTTAAATTTCAATATGTATGTTGTATATGTACGTAATGTAAACTGATAAAGAAGTATCAAATCAATTTTCAATACAAATGGCTAAATCAAAATAAGCTACATATTTATGGAGGGATTAAAGGATTAAAAGCAATGAACAAACATGGAATACCTTCAAATTTAATAGTTAAGAAAGACCATCAAATAAAATTTACAAAGACCAATTATTTCATGACTATTATGGAAGATCCAGTGCTGAATACAAGATTAGATAATTATGCAAGATTATACAAGATTTGATGCTGATTGATGAAATAGTTACACTTGTATACACTAGCATTGCTGTTGAACCATTTTAGTATTTATATTATTTAGCAAACTTATAAGCATCTTGGCAAACCTTTTTAGATTTGTAAAAAATTTAATTAAAAAATATTTTAACTTTTTTTTGTTGTTTTTTTTTTGAGATAGAGTCTGGATCTGTCACCCAGGCTGGAGTGTAGTGGCGTGATCATGACTCACTGCAGCCTGTACTTCACAGGCTCAAGCGATCCTCCACTTCAGTCTCTTGAGTAACTGGGACCACAGGAGCACATGACTACATCTGTCTAGTTTTTTTTTTTTTTTTTTTAATATATAGGGACAGGGTTTTGCCATATTGCCCAGGTTGTTGTTAAATTCCTGCTCAAGCTATCTGCTTACCTCAGCCTCCAAAAATTCTGGGATTCTCCCAAAGTTCAGCCTATAATTTTTTTTTTTTTAATTCTAGGTTTTATATCTGGTCATTAATTACATTGAAAATGCATAATTTTCAAAATGGCAAAACTGTGACTCTGTAAATATAAAATAAACATATGTCATTCATTTTATTTAACTCACTGATTAATGTGAATATAAATGAAATAAGTCAATTCAAATGAGAATTTGACTTACAAAGAGTTTTATTCTCCACTAGACAACATTCATTTGTATTTTTTTATTTTTTTAATACAACTTGATCTTTTTTTTGTTTGTTTTTTGTTTTTTGAGACAGAGCCTTGCTCTGTTGTCCAGACTGTCAAGATCTTGGCTCACTGCAACTTCTGCCTCCTGGGTTCAAGAGATTCTCATGCCTCAGCCTCCTGAGTAACTGGGATTACAGGCGCCTGCTACCATGCCCAGCTACTTTTGTATTTTTAGTAGAGATGGGGTTTCACCCTGTTGGCCGGGGCGGTCTTGAAATACTGACCTCAAGTGATCTACCCACATTGACCTCCCAAAGTGCTGGGACTACAGGCATGAGCGACCACACCCGGCCATTCATTTACACTTTAATGAAGAAAAAGTATCTTCATGGCTAGGAGCAGGCAGCATTTGCCGTTAAGTTTTCTACAACTCTACTACTCCTTCAGAGTTATAAATAGCTTAATCAATCTAAAACAACTAAAGGTACACACTTCTATAGAATCAGAAGGTTCACTAGACAATGTCGAGAATGCCACTACGAAAAAACTGCCAGTCATCTCTTCTGCCTGTTTCAAGTCTGACAAATTTTGCTGACTGTAACTCCCACTCCTCTTTATAGGTCTTATCTACTTCCTGCCACTGTATGCATATTCTTATGCAAAATGTTCTTTATAGAGTTGAGCTCATCTAGTATAGCCAATTTTAAATTTCACTATTTCCACAGATATTTTCATATCATTAGGAAATCCTTAGAAAGATTTCAATGGCTGCATGATATGAATCTACTAAAAACTATATAAGCCCTCTTCTAATGTTGGTCATAGAGGGTATTCAAGTGTTTGCTATCTTAAATGGATCTGAGAACAGCACTATACATACCATATTCAACTACAAAATAAATTTTAATAATATTACAGTAATGAATGTTTTATAATACTTCTAGAATTAGATCTATGTAGATAAAATATGTTCCTGATTACTTGTATGTGTGTGTGTATGTATGTGAATGTTTGCATGCCTACTTTTAATATTAGTGTATATAGTGTCTGTATTGTATTGGGATTATTGGATTTTGTATTATCTAATATGATAGGCAAAATACAACACTTGAAAAAGTTGTATTTATGCAATAACTGAAATGGAAAATATTTTATATATTTATGTGCCATTTGAACTTTTTACTTTGAAAATTGTCTGTATCTTTTGGAATTTTGTTGTTGTTATTCTTTTCAGGTTAAGGGAATCAAATGTAATTGGTTATAGTGACAATGTTGCAATTTGCCTAAGCCCTGTACTCCCTGAAACAGAGAAGGTCAAGAAATCTTCCTAATCCTTTTGTGATTTGGGCAACAGCTTCTGAAACACTCTTCCCAATATGATTTAAACAGATACAGAGGCCTCCTTATTTACCTTGACAAGGCTAGATAGACTCTCCAAATTCCCATTCTTTATCTCATAAATGGTTGGCTGAGCTGTTTTCTCCACTGACAAATTTAGATAAAACTTAATCAAACTTTAGTCAGACTTCTCTCCTTCACCCAGGCCCCTGAACTTTGACCCACACTTTGGTATATAGTTTATTCTTAAATTATAAAAATAGTGGTGTTATCTGCTACTAACAAACTACAAAAGTGAAAATGTCCAAAGAACTATTCTACAAATAAGTAATGTGACATGATCATACTTAATGCAGAATTTATTGATAAAGAAAGATACTTATGTAAGGAAATGAAATATATTTTCATTATTTGTGATTATTTAAATTTTAGTTTGCTAAATTGAAGGTAAATTCCATAAACCTGTATTCACTGAATCAATTAGGTTATCAATTATGGCAACTTCTTTTTCTAATTATTATTTTTATAGGACATTAAAAAATTGCAACTTGTCAAAGCTTTTAATAACTGAATTAAGTCATTTCATAATAACTGTAGACTTCTGTAGACCCAGCACAGTAGTACCTCTTGAAAAGTAAATGTACACTTTTATTTTTAAGTTGTACTGCAAAGGAACTATCCAATGGAAGTTTCCACAGCGATTCAATCTGTTCCTTTATCCCAATCCATTTCCAAGAAATTCTGTATCTGTCTGATTCCCGGCACTTATCTCCACCTCTTCTCTATGATTGTATCCTTTCCAATTTGAACCCGATGATCTAAATTCATGCTTCTCCTTATGAACTCACTTCAATATTCTGCAACTGTTCTACACTATAAGATTTGCTGAGTATTAAACCCACCCTATGAAGCCCTGCTTCAGCATTCTCTGGATACAAATACACAGACAATTCAACTCAAACTTGCTCAAAGACTAACTCAGTTTTATGCCTGAGGAAGGAGGTGTGCTCCTGATGTTCTGTAGCACAGTGGTTCCCAACCTTTTTGGCACCTGGGACCAGTTTCCTGGAAGACAATTTTTCCACCAGATGGGAGGGGAGGGTGGTTTCAGGATGAAAGTGTTCCACCTCAGATCATCAGGCATTAGATCCCTCACATGCGCAGTTCAAATAGGGTTTGAGCACCAGTGAGGCTCTAATGCGCCCCTGACCTGACAGGAGGCAAAGCTCAGGCAGTAATGCTCTCTCACCCTCCCCTCACCTCCTGCCGTGAGGCCTGGTTCCTAAATGGACACAAACCGGCACTGGTCCCTGGCCCAGGGGCTGAGGACGCTTGCTGTAGCAGATATTCCTGGACTAATAGATCTTACTACAATAATCTGTATCTAATTTTATAGCAGGCAATGTATTAACTAAACCTAATGCAGAGACATAAAGCTATATCACCAAATGCCCATGGGGAGAACTGGAGATGCAGTATGTTTCCTATATAAACTATTTTAAAATACTTTGGCTCTACTTTGTTATGCTCTATACCAGAATTTGGCAAACTGCAGCCTGAACCCATATATGCCTGCCTTCCTGTTTTGGTAAATAAAATTTTATGAGACTACACCTCTGCTCATTACTGCTGTGTGTAGCTGCTTTTGTGCTTGTAGCTGTTTAGTTGCTATGAAGACCTTATCTGTTGTATTCCTAGGGCTGTCTTTAAGAACATGTGCCCAGTGCACTCCCACAGGGTACCACACAGAGAAGGGCTTATATTTAAGGTCTCATTTTCTGCAATTACGTTATTGAAATTCTTAAAACATTCATTTTTGAATTAGTGTTTATAAAGTCTGCTGGGATAACATATGATATACTGGGGGCTTAATGCCTCAGCTCATATGTTTTTCCAACCTGACTTTCTCCTCAGGAAGAATTTTTCTGACAGCTTCTCCCAGTCAACCCTGTCTGCCTATCCTTGTCCTTCCTGATCTGGTTCAATGGCTGCCGCCCATTGGCCAGAACAGTTACAGATTACATTAGTCAGGGAGATCGATGTTCCACCATACAGATGTCCTGGTCTGGAATGCAGGGAGCATTGGGCTCTGGAGTTGGCCAGAAATGTCTCAGGGAGGGGCAAGGTGGCAACCATCCTCCCTGGACCAGTGGTACAGTGAATTCCCCAAATGACTAGACAGATGCTTTTTGTCCACTCCCATCCATTATTTTTCACTGAGCCCTTTTGTAGCTGAACCTGTTTTTCCCCTAAGCCTGTCAGAAGTTAGTATCTGACTCTACTATATCTTTTTTTTTTTTTTTTTTTTTTTTTTTTTTTTTTTTTTTTTTGGGGATAAGACCATCTTTATTTCCCAGTCTTTGTCTAGGTTTCTACTATTCTATTTTCTCCATGCAACATATCTTTGAACAGCTTAGACTGGTCAGATATCTGCAAGATTGCTTTTTTTTTTTTTTTTTGCTTCTGAGAGTTGTTTTTTATTTATTTTTTTTTTTATTATACTCTAAGTTTTAGGGTACATGTGCACATTGTGCAGGTTAGTTACATATGTATACATGTGCCATGCTGGTGCGCTGCACCCACTAATGTGTCATCTAGCATTAGGTATATCTCCCAATGCTATCCCTCCCCCCTCCCCCGACCCCACCACAGTCCCCAGAGTGTGATATTCCCCTTCCTGTGTCCATGTGATCTCATTGTTCAATTCCCACCTATGAGTGAGAATATGCGGTGTTTGGTTTTTTGTTCTTGCGATAGTTTACTGAGAATGATGGTTTCCAATTTCATCCATGTCCCTACAAAGGATATGAACTCATCATTTTTTATGGCTGCATAGTATTCCATGGTGTATATGTGCCACATTTTCTTAATCCAGTCTATCATTGTTGGACATTTGGGTTGGTTCCAAGTCTTTGCTATTGTGAATAGTGCCGCAATAAACATACGTGTGCATGTGTCTTTATAGCAGCATGATTTATACTCATTTGGGTATATACCCAGTAATGGGATGGCTGGGTCAAATGGTATTTCTAGTTCTAGATCCCTGAGGAATCGCCACACTGACTTCCACAATGGTTGAACTAGTTTACAGTCCCACCAACAGTGTAAAAGTGTTCCTATTTCTCCACATCCTCTCCAGCACCTGTTGTTTCCTGACTTTTTAATGATTGCCATTCTAACTGGTGTGAGATGACAAATCATGGGTGAACTCCCATTCACAATTGCTTCAAAGAGAATAAAATACCTAGGAATCCAACTTACAAGGGATGTGAAGGACCTCTTCAAGGAGAACTACAAACCACTGCTCAAGGAAATAAAAGAGGACACAAACAAATGGAAGAACATTCCATGCTCATGGGTAGGAAGAATCAATATCGTGAAAATGGCCATACTGCCCAAGGTAATTTACAGATTCAATGCCATCCCCATCAAGCTACCAATGACTTTCTTCACAGAATTGGAAAAAACTACTTTAAAGTTCATATGGAACCAAAAAAGAGCCCGCATTGCCAAGTCAATCCTAAGCCAAAAGAACAAAGCTGGAGGCATCACACTACCTGACTTCAAACTATACTACAAGGCTACAGTAACCAAAACAGCATGGTACTGGTACCAAAACAGAGATATAGATCAATGGAACAGAACAGAGCCCTCAGAAATAATGCCGCATATCTACAACTATCTGATCTTTGACAAACCTGAGAAAAACAAGCAATGGGGAAAGGATTCCCTATTTAATAAATGGTGCTGGGAAAACTGGCTAGCCATATGTAGAAAGCTGAAACTGGATCCCTTCCTTACACCTTATACAAAAATCAATTCAAGATGGATTAAAGATTTAAACGTTAAACCTAAAACCATAAAAACCCTAGAAGAAAACCTAGGCATTACCATTCAGGACATAGGCGTGGGCAAGGACTTCATGTCCAAAACACCAAAAGCAATGGCAACAAAAGACAAAATTGACAAATGGGATCTAATTAAACTAAAGAGCTTCTGCACAGCAAAAGAAACTACCATCAGAGTGAACAGGCAACCTACAACATGGGAGAAAATTTTTGCAACCTACTCATCTGACAAAGGGCTAATATCCAGAATCTACAATGAACTCAAACAAATTTACAAGAAAAAAACAAACAACCCCATCAAAAAGTGGGCGAAGGTCATGAACAGACACTTCTCAAAAGAAGACATTTATGCAGCCAAAAAACACATGAAGAAATGCTCATCATCACTGGCCATCAGAGAAATGCAAATCAAAACCACTATGAGATACTATATCTTTCTGATCAGGGAGAAACCTCAAGGCAAAATGGATTCAGATTCCAGACTTACCTCTTATCTCCTTATCTTTCATGGCATCTCAAACTTGTTATCTCGACTACTTTGCTAGCTTTATGTTGTCTTTAAAGATTGCTTTTACATTTATTTGGAACTTTTTCAGTGACCCTAAGCAAAAGTGATCCATCTTTATTAGAAGTAAGAATCCACTAACTAAGAAATAAACATTGTTCTCTCAAGTTGTTCAAGACATTTTAACAGGAGTTTATTTTTAAAAATCTTGTAATCATTATACTTAACATGAAAATGAAATTGGCTTGATGATTCAAATTATTTTAAATAATTTTACTTTAAACTGCAATTTTTTTTTCAAATATTGCACAAACTACCAATTCAGTAGGTACCATTTGAAGACCTGCTGAATTTCTCATATATCGAGAATGACACTATACACATAGCTGAAGCTGAAATTTTCAATTTATTAATCATGTGCAGATGCATTCTCTCTGGCAATTTAATTTATTTAATGCCCAGGAACAAATGGATAAGATGTTTATGTGTCATATTAATGGGGACATAGCATCTTTCTCACAAGGGGTTCAAACCATTTTTAAATTTAATTTACTCTCAAACTGTGATGATACTAATGTAATTATCTTTCATATTAGAGCTAAGATTCAAAATAAAAGGGGTAACCAAAATTGCCAGAAATTATGAGATTCAAATTTGTGATCAGAGGCAAAAGCCTTTCAGTTCTAAGGTACTTATTTTAAACAATAAAGCCAAATATCGAGGAAATTGCATTAATGAAAAATATATTCACTATCTGTTGTTTCTTTTAAATGAAGAATTGATTCAAATCGGCACTTTGGTTTTGGGAACAAGGTATTGGAGTTAGAATCTCACCTGAATTTATATGATGCAAGTGATGGCAGATTAATTCATTGTTTTTAAGTTTCTATGTCCACAGCTCTACTGAAATCATTCTGACAAAAATCATTAGAAAAATATAAATTCACTTCTATAGTGATATCCTCCTAAAATGATAACCTGACATGTCTTATTTTTGCCAAGTGGCTTCATCTGAAACAGCATATTGTAATGTGAAAAGGATTCAGTAATCAGAAACAGTTTAGAAATGTCAGTGTAGGCAACAGAAGATCACAGCAATCTATCACTGAGGTTCCTTTCATGGGATATAGGATAGATCATAATGTTTTGTTCAATAAAAGGAAAATGTAAAACTGTAGAAACATGAAAACAAAGTGATAAACAGGAAGCTATGTCCAGCATCTAAAACAAGAATCTGGATTATACTCCTGTCAATACTTTTGTCTAAAACGAGCACAGAGAATTCAATGATTTATATCTTAGAGTGATATTGTACTATTGAGGGAAATCATATTAATAGGAAAAAAAAGTTTACCTATGAGACTTTTGTTATTGTTAATTTGATGAAAATTTACCAGTTCCTTCATTAAGATTAACACTTAGAAATCTTGCTTGTAAAAACAAATTAAAACAAAACAAACAAAAACATCTCTAAAACACCTTAATAATCTTTTATAAAATAATGATGAGTTATATGTAGTTAATTTTTGCCAACGTATTAGAACATGAGGTGTTCTGTACTCCTTTTTAAGCAATTGATAATGTCCAAATCTCAAGCTGATTTTTACATTTAAATAAAGGAAGTTATTTATTATTACATACTCATATTCATTAATCAAAATATATAAAATATTTAAAAAATATGTCAATGGAAAGAAACCTTTCTGTTATAAACTTCATATATGTGTCCTTCTAAAATTCACAAGATGAAATTCCAACTACCCATGTGACATTAGGAAGTGGTACCTTTGAGAGGTAATTGGGTCATGAGGGCTCTGCCTTTATGAGAGAAACTCCAGAAAATTCACTAGTTCTCTTTTTGCCATGTAAGGATATGAGAAGACGGCAATTGGCAATCTGAAGCATTCCATCACCAGGATCCTATCGTCCTGTCACTGGATCTCTGTCTTCTAGCCTCTGGAACTGTGTTAAATTTTTGTTGTTTATAAGCCATCCAGGCTATGGTACTTGTTATAGTAGCCCACAGATACAAAGATACTTTCCCTTTCCTGTGAGGGTTTTTCAAAGATTTAGTATCCGCATGATATGTTCTAACACCTATCAAGCAATTATTTGACTACATTTTTATTATTGTATCTTTGAACAAGAAATTAATTAAACAATCTCTTTCCTGAACTTTCTCTCAACCTCCTTCTTTATTTTTTGGCTTGCTTTTATACTGATATCAGCCAAGAAAATATTCCCTTTTCTTTTAAGAATCCTTCCCTAGCCCATCTTGTTTTGAAAGATGCTTTTCCTATATGTTCACTCTATTACAGTTTCCATAACTTTGTCATTGTATGCCATATTTGCCTACTTAGCTATCTGCCTTCTACAGTAATTACTATACACCACTTTTACTTTCTATCCTCTTCACCATTTCCCCCAGACACAAGACTGAGTACTTCACATTTTGCAGGTACTCAGTTGAATAGATAAAGTCCTCAGTTAAAAATAGCAATGCCCTATCAGAAAGATTACTAAGTGAATGACGGCCTTCTGTTCCCTGATTCATAAAATGGCACAAAGGCTAATTACAGAAAGCAATGTCTAGCCAAGAAGGAGTAGAAGGCTTTAAGTCAGTGCATACAGTGTACCACAATTAAAGTTAGAAGTATCCCAGTTTTGTCTGGTATCAGCCCTGATCTCAACATATATTTCACTACAAAACTCTTAATTTGCACAATTATGCATTCATATGTTGTTTTCAATTTCTTCTTGGTCATAAAAATATTGATTTTGTACTGTAACTTTACACAAGGAAAAAAAAAAAGAAACAATTCAAATTGTACCTGGTGTAATTATATTCCAAAGACTGTTTCAAAGCAAATTTCAGAGCACAAACCCAAGATGATCATCAGGCTATAGAATGTGATAGTTACAGTCACTATCAATCAAAAGTAATAAAAGTGATTTCTGACCAAATAATAAAATTTATGTTTTCATTATCTTTATGGTACACTTAAAACGACCATGAAATAAACTAATTCATTCTACTTTGTGAAATAAACTGAATTTACTTCACACCATTACTAGCAATTCTACTTTAATAGATTTATAAATTACCAAATAACATTCCTGAAGGTGTAGTAAGAAATAAATTTACCACCTAGAGTTTTATTTCTTCTCTTATCTTTTACAATGCATATGACTGCTTAAATGATCTATTTAGCCCTTTACTTTATTTTTTCACTATATATTAGTTCATATTACTTAGCAATATACTTTTATTATTATACATTTATTCAAGAAAAATGTTTATATATTTAATTTTCACTTTGCATAAAACTACATTTGACACTTTTATTAAAAACATTCATATTGTAATTTAATTTTACTTTGAAGTTGTGATTACTTACAGAAGCTGGTTCAAATATTTTTTAGTCTTAAAACACTCACACTTCATTATTGTCTAGCCGAATTTTGTTGGCAAATTAATAACTGTTTCTTACTTTCGTAATTAGTTTTTGGGACTCTAATTTACATTTTAGAATTGAACTGTCTGAGACAATAATGAATAGTCACTATTAGACATGTAAAATTTGAGTAGTTCAAATTCAGGTGTGCTGTAAGTATAAAAAATGCAGATTTTCAAAAACAGTAAAAAGATGAATACTGTAAAATATCTCAATAAGGCAATTGAAACTTTTAAAATATATTGGAGTCAATCAAATATATAATTAAAATTAATTTTACCTTTATTTTCACTTTTTTAACATGGCTACTAGAAATTTTAAAATTGCATAAATAGCTTGCCTTTGTGGCTCACATTATATTTCCTTTGGTCTGTGCTGTTCTAGCTTTGCTCAATGGTCCTTCTGCATATTGTTGCCCTCATTTTTCTTTCAATCTTTAACTATTTTGTTTTTCCACCTGAAAAATACTGTTTTAGGGGGTCATTTTCACATTATTGGTACCAACCTATAATACTTAAACTCTTAAGTTGGGTGCAGTGGCACACACCTGTAGTCCTAGCTGTTCAGAAGGCTGAGGCAGGAGGATTGCTTGAGACCAGGAGTTTGAGGACAGCCTGGGCAACATAGAAAGACCCCATTTATTTTTAAAAATATATGCATAACTGAACTCATAAAATTTCCCTTACAGCTTTACTATTTAATATGTGGAGGAGACTGCTGGGTTTGTGTGTGTGTGTGTGTGTGTGTATGTGTGACTAAGAGAGAATTTTGAAGGACTAACATGTGTCAGATCCTCTTTTAGTGATATTACATGAGATGTCTCATTTTAATTAAAGTCCATGTAAGAGAGATATCATTCCTATTTTACAGACAGAGAAAGAATCTTGAGGAAGATTGAGTAACTTGTCCAGTATGTGCTTCTCTAAAGAAAACATTATCTTAATTGATGAAATCTTTACAATACCATATTATAATAATGTAGGTATTTTCAGAAAAAAATATTAGCAATATTAGTTCCACGGGCATTATAAATTTTAATATCCTCAAAATTTTCTTGTAATATGTCTTTAGTTTTTTCAGGTGTACCTTGACTTAATTTTGCAACAATTCACTTAAGGTTGCTGGTACTTTTATCTTGTCCAATGTTACTGTCTTTTCATATGAATTCTATATAACTTAATGAATATGAACCTTAAAGTGTTTTAAAATTGTCTCTAATATCACATGTACTTAATTCTTAGGATAATTTGGATAATAAAAGTAGAAAACAAATACCATTATTTGTATCATAACAGTATATGGTAATAATATATGTCATAGATCTGGTTTCAGTATATTAAGAACTGTTTTGAAATCAATATAAAGAGATTTTAGTCATTAAAAATGTACAGATGGTATAGTTATGGTAAATTGTTGATATTCCAAAGTAAATTATAACAAGAATTATAACAATGTCGCAAGATCCTTCGGGTGTCACTTCACCAGCCAGACACCTCTGTGGCCAGTAAAGCCTCTGCTTGAGATTTGCTGGCACCTGCTAGGCTTGCTCCGCCCACCCAGCCCAGCAGGCTTCACTCATCTCACGCTGCCAGCCCAGATCCCACACCTGCCAAGGCTGAGCCAGGTGCAGAGTGGTGAGGAGTGTGTGCGTGAAAGAGTGCAGGGTCCAGCCACTGCATACAGGCAGGCATGCCAGCTACTGCTACTGCAGTGGGGCAGGCAGCTCCAGGCGCTGGCACAGGTGCGAGTTTGTGTGAGGCTAAAGCTGGACCAGACATACAACATGCCACAAGCAGTCTCTGCTGCAGGCACCAGCATCCAGAGGAGGAGAACGCAGTGGCAACTGAGAGCTCAAAGATGCCAGGAACTGCGGAGCCCCAAAGAGGGTGTTACAACATGTCACAGCCCTGGCTTGTGGAGCTCTGAGGTCTGGGCTCCCAGAACTGCCACTCTTTACTCTTACAGTCTGGGAGTGCGTCACCACCTGCAGCTCAGCAAGCCAGCCAGGAACATGTTACAGCTCCTTTCACTCCCGAGGTTTGGTGGGTCCTGAGTTCTTTTCCTGAATCCAAGAAGGATGAGGTTACACTGACAACTGGAGGGTTAGCAAAAGGCAGAGAGGAGTTTTATTGAGTGACAGAATAGCTCTCAGGAGACCCAAAATGGGTCCTTTCCACAGACAGGTCTTTGTGTAGAGGAGACCCGAAGTGGGTAGCTCCTATCTGCAGGGAGGTCATCAGGAAGAGTGTCTGAATCTGGCTGAGTCCTGGGGTTTTTATGAGCTCACAAGCGAGGAAATCCATGCTGATTGGTTCATGGGTGGCCATGGGAGGACCTGGAAAAAGTACCATAAGTTCTCACTCTGGTCACAGACTCCACCCAGAACTGGCATCCGAGCCCCCAGGCTTCAGGCTGTCCATTGCTCTTGCTTGAAGGTGGGGTTTCACTGGGGACCTTCTTTCCTGCCTAGAAACCTGTCTGCCTCCTACTGCCATCAACATGCCATCCAGCGTGCCCAGGCTGTCTGTGCCAAGGGGCAACTGCAGGCCAGCACCAAGCTGACCTCAGACACCTGGCCTCCCTCCCAAGCTCACCAGCACCCAAAGCCTGGAGGGGGTCAAGGCGGCAGTAGGGGTGGTATGTCAGTGCAGCCTTGAGTGTGTGCACAGCAGGCTGGCTTATGACGGTGCCTGGGCTCGGCCACAACTTTGCTCTGCACTGGAGCAGGCATTGGGAGTGCGGAGAGGCCAGAGACCAGGAGCAGGCACTTACGAACCTGCAGGGGCAGGGGGTTTCCCAGGATCCCAAGAGCACAAGGATATCTGGGTCAGGAGCCACAGCTGGGTGGCTGCCGCTGCACCTGGGAACACTGGGCAGCCCCTGCCAGCTCCACAGATTGCACATCCCCAGTCAAGCCTCCTCCACTGCAGCTGGCTTCCATGTAGTAGCTGTTCCAGATGGGCCACCACTGCCACCAACAAGATGAACAACAAGAATACAGCAAGAAACACAACTTCGGATATAGCAAAAAGAAAAATGGGACTGAAAGAAATTACCTTTCTACTTGACCCCAAGATGCACTGTCATGTCATTTATTCTGCAAATGCATCAGCCTGGCCTATGTCTGGAGAACACACAGAGGATAATTCTAACAATGTCAAATCTAGGTAAGTTCTACACTGTTTTGCTCCGTAACTCCAGAAGAGTCACAACCTCACCATATCCTAGTTTCCTTAATTATAATGAGAGAGTTTGATGAAATGGAAGATTTTAAACAATCTCCCACTTTTAATAATATCACAGTCCTTTAAAATCTGTTTAGAAACATCAAAGTTAATATTATACAAAATCCATAAAACATGAAATAGAATAAAGAGAGAAGCTATAATAAATAAAAACCTAAGGAAAATAAATAAAAGCAGGCCAGGTGCAGTGGCTCATGCCTGTAATCCCAACACTTTGAGAGGCTGATGATGTGGGCAGATCACTTGAGGCCAGGAATTTGAAATCAGTCTTTAGTTCTTTTCTGGCCAACATGGCAAAACCCCATTTCTGCTAAAAATACAAAAATTAGCTGGGCATGGTGGCTTATCCTGGAATCCCAGATACTACAAAGGCTGAGGCACAAGAACTGCTCGAACCTGGGAGGCCAAGGTTGCAGTGAGCTGAGATCACGTCACTGCACTCCAGCCTGTGCAAGAGTAAGCACTATCTCAAAAAGAGAAAAAAAGAAAAGAAAGAAAAGAAAAAAAATTTTTTTTGGCTACTCCCAATAGATTTTGCATGTAACTACTGGTTGTTTTTCTGCAGGTACAGAAATGATTGCCACATATTCACTCCCCAAGATTAGGCTGTAAGGTTTTTCATGGGCATAAATATAATTTTTCATCTTTGCGTCTTAATAACCAAACCCAAACAGGAATAACTCAATCTCAGTTAACTATTAATAAAGTAAGAAGAAATACTATGTTTTTACTATAGTTTACATCATCAAATAAAGTATACAGTTGAGCGATCTTCTGAATAATTATCATTTAAATACCATGTTTAATTATTTCATTAAATGTATCTCTGATATTTTGATACACTAATAATATAGTTATAAAACTTTTCCAATAAAGTTGTCCAATTTTTGAATTTATGGTACTGAAAATTACTTTATAGCTAATTTTTGATGTATATTTTAGCTTGTACCTTTCAAGCAGCATTAATTTAGAATTTACAGTCCTTTGAATTTTAAAAATTAGTTCAAAGATTTTTATTGCAGTCTTACTTAAAATACTTTCTAGTTTCTTTAAAATATTTCAAACACTTTGAAGACATTTTTTTCAAAGGATATTAAAGAATGTATTTCAGTTTTAGTTTATGTTTTGTCAAATATTTATAATGATCAATGATCATATCCTATATTATATCTATTACTCAAAACATTGACAAACTATAATCTGCATTTACTAATATACTAAGATGCTAATATTCATTCATTCATACTAAGCTATGTCAATCACTATAATACTTGTAATAATAATATTTATACTTATATTTATATTATAAAATATAATTATAATATATTATAATTATATACAATTATTATATATAATATATAACATATAACATATTATTAATATAACATATAATAATATATAATATATTATTAATATAACATATAATATGTTATATATTGTATATAATATAACATAAAATAATACATTATTATATATTGTATATAATATATAACATAATTATATAATAACAATATTCAAAACTTGTATATATTGCAGGACACAAATAAAGGTGTTAGACTGTTCTTGGTGTCCATTATTTTGTAACTTTCACTTCAAAAATACGTGTGTGTATGTGGTGTACGTGTGTGTATTTAAGCAAGACTTTTACTCATTGTATAGAAAATATTGTTCAACATGCACTGAAATGATGGCATGCATCTCTGCCATCCAAAGGCAGACATAATTCTGCATGTCTTTCACATATTTTATTCTTTCTGAAGAATCTAAAAGCACACAACTTTTAAGTTAAAGCATATTAAATGGATATATATAATGAATATGCGTAATATAATGAATATACAAAGTACAACATTTACATTAAAGAGTATAAAGTGAGTATGTATATTATTATATATACTGGTCCCATACACAGTATCTTCTTATTCTATGGGTACATCCATGTCATTATATTTTTTAAAGCTTTCCAGTTGTTGTAAGTTGCAGAGAGATTTGACAACCAATGGTCTAGCCATAATCTTCAAGCCTGAAGATTTTTTTTTAAAGACCTATTGGTACTTTGTTATTTTTTCATCATCTCTTATTTTGATTGTTGCTACCTTGGATAATTCACAGATATTCTCAGATTAAAAGTTGTTTGCTCTTGAATTTACTCTGTATCTTGCGGACAATACTAATGAAAATGTGATTGGAAAGACCCAGAGCATCAATGTTATCTCCTGCCAAGGCTGACAATCAACTTTGCCCCCAGTGGCATTTATTTTTCTACAGGCAAGTTGGGACCCACATCTTAGACTGCCATCCATAGGCAGAGATAATTTAAAACTCCATGTTGGATATTTTCATGTAAGCTCTACTATTAACATTACACTCTATAACACAAAATTGGCTTAGGCAAACACTTTCCATTAACCAAACCTAAACCTTTAATGCTCCCAATTAGCTGAAGAGACTTCTTGAGTCACCATTTACTTCTCTCTCAAGGGTCCCTCTATTAGTTCTATTTCTCAAATATTTATAGTGCAGTCCCCCTTTTCTATTTCATTTGTCATTGAATTCAGACCCTCATTATCTCTTACATTTTTTGTTGACCTAATTGTTCACTCCCAGGTGTATCACATTCGTGTGTCTCATTTTGCTTTTCCAATGGGTAATGGTATGTATTAAATGGTATCTTTTAGATATATTCAAAAGGTAATGTAACAGTTTTATTTTTAAGTGTCAACATGTACAATGTTTTAGAAATTACCACCTTTGAAATATTTAAACTAATAAATATTAGATGGCATCTTAAAAATATGTAGGGCTGTCAACGGTTTTTCAAAATACTTTTGGGGGTTAGAAATGCAAAAGCAATGAAAACCACTACTCTACTTCTATTACAAATCTTTTAAGATACATGTTATTATAACCTTGAAAGTGCTGATTCATACCATGAATATTATTTAGTTAATATTAATAAGCAGAATTTTATATAACATTTAATATTTTTATCAGAAAGTAATTTTCTAAATTAAATGGTTATAAAAATACAGTATTTTAATGTAAATATTTTACAATATCCTAATTTCTCCACCAACTTTTTCATTGTAAAATTTTTTGTATATTATATAAACATGCTATATATGTATATAATAATTTTTGTATATAATAATTACAGAAAATTACCATATACACCATATACACATATAGCATGCATGTTTAGTAAAGACAAGAAAAAATTAGCCTACTATCTGACTACTATATTTCCTCTGGAAGAAGCTATGTTTGTTCAAGAGGCAATTTGACATTTTATATTTGCAAAAGCTTATCAGCAAATATCAGGAACAAACATCAGATGTGAGCTAGCAAAGACAAGAAAACATCAAATTCGAATGAGGCAGCTTAATAATAAAACATATAGCAGGGTACATATCACCCATGGGGTCATAGCCAAACAATTTGAAGAGGAAGAGTTAATATATTTTAATAGTCACCTATAACTTATTGTAGTGTATTCCCATACTGTTATCCAAAATTTGTAGTTAACATAAGGACAGAATGGAAAGAATGAAAGGACAGAATGGAAAGAATGAAATAAGTGAAAAAACCCCTGAAATATTAGAAATCTTCCAAATTTAATAAACATAGGTATCTTGAAGTAGGTATACCATGTTCTCTGGACCTCCACATAGCAAGACCCTGGAGATAGTTGGTCAGGGTGCTCAATTTCCCAAAATATATAAAGTTTGAGGCAATTTTATTTTAAATTTCACAGGGACAGAATGCCTTCAGTAGATATGACTTATATATAATTAGCCTGACTGAAATGAAATGAAATAAATACTGTGTTAATTAAGTTAATTTTATTTCTATAGTCTGTTGTAAAAGTTTCCTTTGGTAACTGTTAAAAATGTGTTGTGATTTTAACAGTCCTCTGCATGAAGTACAGTTTAAATAATTTTGTAAAAATGTGATATTAATTGGCTAAGACTTCCAAAGCAATTATAATATCTGTGGGTGGTTTGAAGCTGATACTGATCATTGATGCTTCATGAAGTTTAATAAAATGGTACTTTTTTTGCCTGAATACATTCTAAGCCAGTGAGCCATGTAGTACCACTTTTTCAGCAACACTTACAGAATTCATACAATGTTAGTTCTAGAAAGAATTAAGTATCCTTTCATCCAACTGCTTCTTTTTACTGATAAAGAAATTGCAGTCGAGAGAATTTGAATAAATTGTTCAAACAATTATATAACAAGCCCTGGCTTGTGAGACAATCTTGAATTTATGTCTCCAGCTTCCTAGTTTAGTACATACTCATTTCAACACAAAACACTGCCAAGGTTTTAGTGAAAAAGATATCAGTAATTCATTACCAATTATACAAGTTGCAAAATTAAATCAAAATATCTCAGAAATTCAGTAGAATATTCAATAATTATTTCAAGTTCATTACTAAATATGTAGTCATATTACAGAGTAATTGCAGGAGAAAATTAATATAAAACTATGTTATATTTTTTATTTTTGTTAATTTAATATTCAGCTACATTTTCATGTATGATCAAAATTTATTTGTTATAGAAAACCATTCAATTTCAGCAATATTTTATAAAGCATAGTATCTCTTCGGAAATATATAACAAAATTAAGACTATCAATCTCCAAAAGTTAATTCTGCAGTTTTTTTTATCTAAAGAAAACCCCACTTTCCAATTGACAACCATTATGACATTGTACACAGAGAATATAAAAATTTAGTTAACTAATGCATGGCACTTAAAACTGTGAATCAGATTCAGGTTTGCTATGAAGTTAGAGTAGGTAGATAGGCAGATAATAGTAGGGCAGGATAGTGCCCCAAGTAATGTCAGGTGACTGTCTTGTAATTGTCAGGTGGCCCCTTAATTGTGGGCCACAACTCCCAATAAAATCCTAAGAATTGAGCAAACATGTGGCAGATGACATGATTGTATATTTAGAAAACCCCATCGTCTCAGCCCAAAATCTCCTTAAGCTTATGAGCAACTTCAGCAAAGTGTCAAGGTACAAAATCAATGTGCAAAAATCACAAACAATCTTATACACCAATAATAGAGAGCCAAATCATGAGTGAACTCCCATTCACAATTGCTACAAAGAGAATAAAAATACCTAGGAATACAACTTACAAGGGATGTGAAGGACCGCTTCAGGGAGAACTACAAACCACTGCTCAAGGAAATGAGAGAGGACACAAACAAATGGAAAAACATTGCGTGCTCATAGATAGGAATAACCAATATTGAAAAAATGGCCATACTGCCCAAAGTAATTTATAGATTCAATGTTATCCCCATTAAGTAATCATTGACTTTCTTCAAAGAGTTAGAAAAAAACTACATTAAATTTCATATGGAACCAAAAAAGAGCCCATATAGCCAAGACAATCCTAAGCAAAAAGAACAAAGTGGGAGGCATCATGCTCCCTGACTTCAAACTATCCTACAAGCCTACAGTAACGAAAATAGCATGGTACCGGTACCAAAACAGATATACAGAGCAATGGAACAGAACAGAGGCCTCAGAAGTAATGCCACACATCTACAGTCATCTGATCTTTGACAAACCTGACAAAAACAGGCAATGGGGAAAGGATTCCCTATTTAATAAATGGTGTTGGGAAAACTGGCTAGCCATATGCAGAAAACTGAAACTGGACCCCTTCCTTACACCTTATACAAAAATTAACTCAAGATGGATTAAAGCTTTTAACATAAGACCTAAAACCATAAAAACCCTAGAAGAAAACCTAGGCATTACCATTCAGGACATAGGGATGGGCAAAGACTTCACGACTTTTAAAACACCAAAAGCAATGGCAACAAAAGCCAAAATTGACAAATGGGATCTAATTAAACTAAAGAGCTTCTGCACAGCAAAAGAAACGATCATCACAGTGAACAGGCAACCCACAGAATGGGAGAAATTTTTCTCAATCTATCCATCTGACAAAGGGATAATATCCAGAATCTACAAGGAACTTAAACAAATTTAAAAGAAACAAACAACCCCATTAAAAAGTGGGTGAACGGCCGGGCGCGGTGGCTCACGCCTGTAATCCCAGCACTTTGGGAGGCCGAGGCGGGCGGATCACGAGGTCAGGAGATCGAGACCATCCCAGCTAAAACGGTGAAACCCCGTCTCTACTAAAAATACAAAAAATTAGCCGGGCGTAGTGGTGGGCGCCTGTAGTCCCAGCTACTTGGGAGGCTGAGGCGGGAGAATGGCGTGAACCCGGGAGGCGGAGCTTGCAGTGAGCCGAGATCCCGCCACTGCACTCCAGCCTGGGCGACAGAGCGAGACTCCGTCTCAAAAAAAAAAAAAAAAAAAAAAAAAAAAAAAAAGTGGGTGAAGGATATGAACAGACACTTCTCAAAAGAAGACATTTATGTGGCCAACAAACATATGAAAAAAAGCTCACCATCACTGGTCATTAGATAAATGCAAATCAAAACCACAATGAGATACCATCTTACGCCAGTTAGAATGGCGATCATTAAAAAGTCAGGAAACAACAGATGCTGGAGAGGATATGGAGGAATAGGAATGCTTTTACACTGTTGGTGGGAGTATAAATTAGTGCAACCATTGTGGAAGACAGTGTGGCAATTCCTCAAGGATCTAGAACCAGAAATACCATTTGACTCAGCAATCCCATTACTGGGTATATACCCAAAGGATTATATATCATGCTACTATAAAGACACATACACATGTATGTTTATTGTGGCACTGTTCACAATAGCAAAGACTTGGAACCAACCCAAATGCCTATCAGTGATAGGCTGGATAAAGAAAATGCGGCACATATACAACATGGAACACTATGCAGCCATAAAAAAGGACTAGTTCATGTCCTTTGTAGGGACATGGATGAAGCTGGAAACCATCATTCTCAGCAAACTAACACAGGAACAGAAAACCAAACACCACATGTTCTCACTCATAAGTGGGAGTTGAACAATTAGAACATACGGACACAGGGAGGGGAACATCACACACCAGGGCCTGTTGTGGGGTGGGGGGCTAGAGGAGTGATAGCATTCAGAGAAATACCTAATGTAGATGATGGGTTGATGGGTACAGCAAACCACCATGGCATGTGTATACCTATGTAACAAACCTGTACATTCTGCACATGTATCCCAGAACTGAAAGTATTAAAAAAAAAAAGAATTGAGCAAACATATTCAGGCATGGCCAGTAAAGGGCAAAATGTTGGAATTTGACTTTCCTTGGGGACATGTATAGGTGTTTACAGTAAGGGTCAAAATGGTGGAGTTTGACCTTCCACCAGATGCACTAGACTGGTAAGGGAAAATTTCCCCAAGAGAGCATGCCTGTAACTTCAACCACCAAGTGGCGCACTCAGCTCCTCCAGTATACTGGCAAGTCACTGAGCATGCGGTGATTAGCCAACAGCTCACACAAGGGGAAGGATGAGGGGACAAGACCTCGAAAAAAAAAAGAACAGGAAATAACAATTCTTTAAGAGCCTTGAACCAACAATCAGGTAGGGCACTCAATCTGTTGAGTTGCCCACTTGGTTTCTTCCAAGTGTGTTTTTCTTTGCATCAGTAAACTCTCATTTCTGCCTTAAATCTACTTTTGTGTGTTGGCTGAATTCTTTCTCTGAACAAGACAAGAATTGAGGACTGCAGAGTCTACCCAGACTTGCCACCAGTAACAAAAGTTAAAAAACAAAAACAAACAAACAAAAACCTCTATATTTAATCATGGTGTCATCAGCCTAGCTCTATGACCTTAAGAAGCTAACTTAACATGTTAGAGCCTAAATTTCATCATCTAAAAAGTAAGAAAATTATACACAATGAATTCAGAGTTTCCTTCTTCTCTAGGTTTATATGATTTAGTAGTTTAAAAAATCATATCCAAAGAGTTAGCTCAGAAATTAACAGAAAGTACAAAATTACAATATGACTGCATTTTTAAAAATCAAAGAAAATTTGTTTACCACAGAAACATAGGTTAAATTACTTAGCACATCATCATGATTTTAATATGTCCCCCCAGATTTCATGTGTTGGAAACTTACTCCCCAGTTCAAGTGTTGGTAGATGGGGCCAAATAAAGGTGCTTAGATCATGAGGGCTCTGCCCTCATGAATGGATTAATGCTGTTATTGTGGGAATGGATTGTTATAAAATCTAGCTCAGTCCCTTCTTGCTCTTGCCCTCTCTTGTCCTTCCACCTTCTGCCATGAGAAAACATTGCAAGAAGGCTGTCACCAGATCCAGGCACTTCAACCTGGGAATGCCCACTCTTCAGAACTGTCAGAAATATATATGTGTATGAATAATATATATATATACATATATACACACACATATATAATATAAACATATAAATTAAATATAAGTTACCTGTTCTAACAGATACATTTTCTAAAATGGTGACCAAAATGAAATGAAAAAGTATTTATATTTGTATAGTAATAAAAGAGAAGTAAAAATTTTAAATTATAAATTGATGTTTATTAAATATATATTATTAGTCAACATTCTATCTAAACTCTGTAGTCTAAAAAGAGTAGGTAATAAAAATGATGCAGCTTTTTAAATAAGGCCAGATGATCGCTGAATGTCTTCTAATATTCCACTGAAGGATTGCTTCAAAAATTCAAGTCCAGTAAGGATTATTTAGGTTTCTAGGAAATGTATCATTATTTTATTTTTCATATTTGCTATTAATGAAAGCCTTACACTTGGTGAAGTTATATGTTAACCTCTAGTTTTCAGACCAATTAAAATAAATTTTGGTAGTAAAAAAGATAAACCCTAGCGGATTTATAGTTATGCAGGGTTTTAACCAGTTTCTTTTCTAAGCTAGTTATATTATTCAAATACTGTCTTTGAATATTGCTCCCTTAAGTGGGCCTCTCTGGACCCTTAACTGAACTCATAATTGCCTAATTAGCTTGCTAATGTTGTGGCTCAGAAAACAATACCCCAAAATATGACATTTTGACATGCTGAACTGAAGATGAAGCTCAGGTTCTCTGATTTTTCCCCACCTCTCCATGTATCTCCCACAGATGTTGAAGTTTCCGTTTTCCCACCTAGAACAAGAATTATTTTTTCTTCCCCCTCCCTATTACCTCATTATCTATTGCAGAAAAGAAGATCAAGAGTAACAACTCCTGAACAAACCCTTTTACAATTATGATGACTGTCTCTGAGGATTATTTAAATCCCCAACTGAACTATTTACAAGTTAATCTGTGTTCCTGATCCATATCCATTCATTCCTCCCTAGAAACCATTTATTGTCCTTCAATAGAATTCCTCTTCTCCCCTCTCCCATAACCTGTTTTACCAGAATCTGAGCTCCCACTTTCTTTTTTTCTTTTTTTTCTTTTTTTTTTTTGTAACCTCAAGATGGTATATAAGCTTCCTCATAACTCGTTGGAAAGTTGGGTCTTCATTTTAAAGGCTTCTGTGTATATACACTAAATACATTTGCATGCCATTTTTCTTATCAGTCTATCTGCCTCATGTCAGGGATTTTTCAATGACTCTTTAAGGGACCAAGAGCCCAAGGCCCCCTCACTAGCTATTTAAACAATTAAATAAACTTTTTAACACATGTTTATGTTTTACATAAGTGAAAATTATACTTTAAATTAAAAACAGAAAATAATAGCAAAAGAGTTGAGCATGACTTTTCAATGACAAAATTAGACTAGGAAATTTCTATGTAGTCATGTCCTCCAAGCTGCTTTTGTTTCGAAAGTGGCTCACTTATTTGATTTTCTCAGGAGAAGCAGTTGAGAAACAGTGCTGTGTATGTCAGGCTGTCTTTTCTAATTGACAAAAGTTACTCATGACTTATCTCAAGAATACAAAATTGAAGAATTAGAGACAAATGTACGTATAAAAAACACTGATGAAACCACATTTGCAAAAATGATCACAGTGAGAATATTATGACAGTGAAAGTGATCTGACCTGAGTCCATCTTGCCTCTAACTTCCAAACTGTCCTTGTTCATCCCTGGGCATAGGCCAAACTAACTTTGTGAGGAACTTAGTTTACAATTTAACTTTGAGACAACGATGATAACTGTCAGGCCTCTGAGCCCAAGATAAACCATCATATCCCCAGTGACCTGCATGTATACATCCAGATGGCCTGAAGTAACTAAAGAATGACAAAAGAAGTGAAAATGTATTGTTCCTGCCTTAACTGATGACATTACCTTGTGAAATTCCTTCTCCTGGCTCATCCCGGCTCAAAAGCTCCCCCACTGAGCACCTTGTGACCCCCGCCCCTGCCCAGGGAGAACTACCCCCTTTGACTGTAATTTTCCTTTACCTACCCAAATGCTATAAAACGGCCCCACCCTTATTTCCCTTCACTGACTCTTTTTCGGACTCAGCCCGCCTGCACCCAGATGAAATAAACTGCCCTGCTGCTCACACAAAGCCTGTTTGGTGATCTCTTCACACGGACACCAGTGAAAATAACAGTTTTTCGAAAACAAATCTTCTTCTTGCCTGGGGACCAGACTGCCATTGTAGGACTAACAAATTAGCTACATGATTACAAATTATGGCTTAGGAGCCATGCAGCTGGTGGCCACAAGATTCCGAACCTCCTCAGTTGTTCCCAGGGTTAACACCACTCTCCTAAAACCTAAGATTGGTGCTCAAGATATTCTTCAGACTCTGCACTCAGTGGATCAGTTGCCCCCACCCAAATCAATAAACTGGCTCATCTGGTTTTGTGGTCTCAACCCAGGATCTGACTCAACACAAAGGACAGCTTTGATTCCCTCTGATTTTATCTCCAACCCGACCAATCAGCAATGCTCACTCCCTGGCCCCCTACCTGCCAAATTATCCTCAAAAAGATCCAGTCTCTGAATTGGGGGTGAGACTAATTTGAGTAATAATAAAACTCAGGTCTTCCTTTCAGACTGCTCTGTGTGAATTAAGCTCTTTCTCTATTTTAATTCTTTTATCTTGATAAATCAGCTCAATCTAGGCAGCAGGCAAAATGAACCTGTTGAGTGGTTACACTGATGTGGAAGGACAAGGGAGTTGGAATGAGGGAAAGAGGAGTCAGCCATGAAAGAAAGATTCAAATATTCTAAGTATGGACTCTTATTCCAACCTCAATGCCTGGCAGGTTTTCAGCTCTAGGTGTGTGGGGATAGGTGGAAAATAAAAAATAAAATAAAAAAAAGTTATTTTCCTCTAGGGAAAAAGTAAAAGGTATTCAAGGGGATAGATTTCCTCCTCCAATTCTGCCAGTATACTCGAGATTACTGAACAATTTCCCTACCAACTAAATGAAGCTTGCAAAGAAAGAAGAGCCTAGACCTTTCTTAAGAATAGTAATGAATTAGCATCATAAATAGCCTATGCAGAAAACATGCTGAATTATGCTTAGCAAATAGGTTCTCTATACTCTTCAATGATTTACTAGGACGTTTTTTGGGAACTCATCAGCAAGTCATTTTGAAGTTATTATGCTGTGATTAACTGCTGTGCCATTTTTCCCCTCAAAATTCATGAAAAATGCAGAGTTACTATCTACTTCACCCACTGTATGAGTTTCACAACTGACTTTTATCATGATCTCTCATGCTGGGTTTATAGATTGCTTGAACTGGGGGTGAGAACTCCTGCTGATACTGTCACAGAGCAGTCTAGTTAGGTTCCACTAAGTGAATCTGTTAAAACTGTCAACAAAAAATAGCCAATAACTTTTAAGATAAACAGAGATGGACTCTTTCCTACAGTGTATCTAGAAATGGAAGCTGAATAAAGTCTCAATAAAAAGAAAGGTTTTGTTTATTTTCATTCCTTTCCTTTTGCATTATTGTTTGGACTGCTTCTGGAAACTTCAGCCTTAGAAATAAATAGAAGTGAATACCTTTTAAAATGAATGTCTTCAGTAGATTAAAAGTAACTGAAGATTTTTTTCAATGTATTTTTTACTTGCTCCTTTGTTTATATTCTAAAAGAAATGTACTTGGAGGCCATATGTTTTAGAAACTCCATTACACATGTACATTTGTTTCTCGTTATTCACATCAGTTATGTTCTGTAAGGTTGCCATAAATACTGAATAATTGCTTTGGTGGGGCGGGAGAATATATATTACACATATTATACTTTAGAAAAACAATAGTTTTCATTCTATCCTTCTAGGCTTTCAGCTGGGGCATTTGTAAAAAAAGACAGATTAACAAGAGAAAAACAAACATGTATATCTCATACATACATGGGAGAAAAGACAGGGCAATCAACTCTCAAAGGGGTAGCTCAGCATTTAAACTTAAATACCATCTTCAGCTAAAATATATATATATAAAAAGAGAAGGATATCTGAGAGGTAAGTTATGGCAAGGTGACCATGAAAACCAAGGTGAACAAGAATAAAAGTTGATAGGCAGATTTACGTCAGTGCCTTCTCCATAGATAAAATTACCTTGTGATTTAGAGTCATATACTCTTTCTGGTACAGAGAAGGATAGACTTTTACAAATAGAAATTTCCTTTATAAATATACTTTTCCCTTATAAAAGTGTAATTTCTACTCTGGCTTTAGAGTTTCTATTATATCTGCTGTTTCTCAAAATAATCTTCTAGGTCAAAAAAAGTGTATATTTTATTTTGGGATGACATAATCTGGTCTCCTATAGCCATAGTCCCGGGTAACATATTCTGATCCACTATAATATAAATTCCATGTACTATGATCAGTTGCATTTCTAAACAACAATAGTTCGATAATGAAATTTTTCAAATGCTTTTGATAAAAATGTATAATGCCCAAGTTCAGTCTATATAGAAAGCTTTTATAAAAAACATTTTTTAAAAAACCTTCGAAAAACAGTAAAGAAGATCCAAATCAATGAAAATATATGTTTATGGATATAGGGTTTAATACATTCAAGATGTCAATTATGCCTAAATTTATCAATAGATTTTAAGAAATTTCAATCAAATTTTCAGCAGATCATTTGTAAAACTTGAAAAGATGTAATGAGATGCATATGGAAAGGCAAAAGCCCAAAGTTACAAACATTAAATAATTTTTTTTAAGGAACATTACCTAAAATGAGAAAGGAAAATCTTCTCTGGTGAATATCAAAACATGAAAAGCTATGCTTGTAAGATACCATAATTTTACTCCATTAATTCCTTTTAAATCAATTCATGAAACAGAATATGGCGTTTAATTATTGAATAAATATGACAGTGTAGACAAGCTGGAAAATTATAGACTCTTCAATAAATCATGCTGGAATAACTGTATATCCTTACGGAGATACAAATTTATATAGCAGTCTTTCATATTCAAAAATCAATTTCTTGTAAATTAAATACATGTATGTGAAACATAATGTTAAAAACTTTTAAAATACATGTCTTGGTTCTAGATAGAGAAACAGTTCTTTAAAAAGGCACAGAAGCCAAAAATAATAATAAACAATGTTGTTAAGTCTCAGAAAATACAAATCATAAGTAAAGAAAATTAAATGATAAGCCACAAATTAGAAGAAATTTTTGTCACACATGAAAAATCGATGTGGGGAAGGATAAATTATATTTCTTTCTACTAGTTTTATCATATGCAGGGGAAATGAAATTAAAATATACAGTCATGTGCCACATAAGAGTATTTCAGTCAATAATGAACCGTATATAAGATGGTGATCAGAGCAACAGGCGATACCATGTAGTCTAGGTATGTAGTAGTCAGTACCATCTCGGGCTGTGTAAGTATACTCTTGGATGTTCATACAATAATAGCAAAATTGTCCAACAATGCATTTCTCAGAATGTGTACCTTTTGCTAAGCGAAACATTAATATATTTATATATGTACTCCCCCATTAGTTTTATGTTTTATACAGGAACATCTATTTTAAAAATTGCAAAAAAACCATGATTAAGCATTTTAAAAATCTATTTGCATGCTTTCCATTAAACAAAACTACATTTTTCTCCAGGCAGCTTATACCTGCTTTTTGATAGATGTTATCAAGACAATTGATGATTTACTTCAATGGGCTGAGGAGATAATTCCATGGAAGCTCTTAAAGATCTAATATGTGTGCTTCTGAAACATCTATAATTTAGCCTTTATGGTTATGTTAATATAGGCAATGAGAATCAGGAAATTCACCTTGGGAGTGATGTCACAAAGATTGCGGAGTGGGCATAGCAGCTCTCATCTCCCCCTCAGAAAAACTATAGACAGCTATTCAAAATCAAAAATAGGCCAGAGAGGGCTCAAGAGCTCATTAATGAATCTGCCACAACATGTTGAAGCAAAAATGGAAAACATGTATATAGAAAGGATCACTGATGAGATCAGAATACGCAAGATGTCAGTACAAGCAAAGAAGAAATGTAAAAGCTACTGGTATCAGCTACATGGTCGGAACCACTGTGGTCTCCACAAGTCTGCTCTGCAAAGGAGACCAGCATCTTTTGCCACTGAAGGAATCAATAGCTATCCTGGCTGAGGAACCCAGAGAGGGAGACGCCACTGTTTACTCTTCTCCCACACAAGAATTGGCTGCTGTTCAGTCACCTCAGGAAAGAAACTTCTTCAGGAAAAGAACTGCCACAGATACATGCATATGTTCACGCAGGTATTCTGTGCAAAACCTGACCCTGAAGCCCAGCCTCCCTGTAAGTGCCCATGTTTCAGCTCCAGGCTCTGTGGCTGTACTGGTACAGCCTACCTTTCAGATACTGGAACCACAGCTATAAGATGTTAGTTTGCACACATAGGCTCCAGGGCCAAATTCTTGCAGTATATGCCCATGCTTTGAACATCAGCCCAGCTGTGATGAATACCTGTTTCTGAAGCTGCTCTAAACCTGCACACACCTGCATTCCCATTCTCATCTTCTCAACTATTTCATGAGTATACTGTTTCATGATCACCTTGCATACTGTTACTAATGTGGCAGTGTAAGCCTCTATGACCCAGGCACTAGCTCAGCTGCCTAGAGAGTTAAGCAGTATCCTAGTCCTGGGGCTGCTCTAACACTGTGCATGCCTATTCTGTCATTCTTGGCACTCTGGCTAGTTCACAATCATCCATGCCTCACAGACAGTAACCAACATGGCAGTGGGAGTCCCTGCGCCCTAGGCACTAGTGCTATTACTGCCCCAGTTCCCAAAACTGTAGTTTCTCCACACATTCTCATTCTTTAGTCCTCAGCTTTGTGACTGTTCCATGTGTGCCACCCAGACATCGGTGCCACTGGCACCTCTAGTGGGACCCTAAACCATTCCGAGTGCCAAGAGCAACCCACTAGCTACAACAAATATCTAGGTACAGGAAAGTCAAAGGTCTCCAATCAAATTCGGTCCAAACAAGACTACACAAAGACACGATATAATCAAACTGTCCAAAATCAAAGACAAAGAGAAGGTCCTGCAAGTAGCAAGAGAAAAAAAGCATAACACATAAGAATGTATGTACACTGAGAGTGAAAGAATGGAAAAGATATTCTATGCAAGTGGATACCAAAAGAGAACAGGAGTAGCTAGCTATGCGTGTATCAGGTAAAATAAACTTTAAGTAAAAAACTCTAAAACAAAACAAAGAAGGGCAATATATAATGATAAATGTATTAATTAATCAAGATGTAATGATTGTAAACATATATAACCAACACTGGAGAAGCTAAGTAATAGTAATATATCTGAAGAGAGAAATAGACTGTAATACAACAATAGTAGGAGTCTTCAATACTCCACTTTCAAAGATGGGCAGATCATCTGGACAGAAAATCAGTAAGGAAACATCGGACTTGAACTATATGCTTTAGAGCAAGTGGCCTAACAGACATATACAGAACATTTTAACCCACAGCTACAGAAAACAAATTTCTCTCAAGTGCACATGGAACATTCTCCAGCATAGATTATACTTTAGTCCACAAAAGAAGTCTTAACAAATTTAAGAAGATTGAAATCATATTAAATATATTTTTGACCATAGTGTTATGAAACTAAAAATAAATGGTAAGAGAAATTTCAAAAAAGAATAGAACTATTTGAAAATTAAACAGCATGGTCCTAAGCAACAAACAGGTCAAGAATAAATTATGGCTGGACGTGGTGGCTCACGCCTATAATCCTAGCACTTTGAAGGCCAAGGTGCATGGATCACTTGAGGTCAGGAGTTCGAGACCAGCCTGGTCAACATAGTGGAACCTCATCTCTGCTAAAAATACAAAATTTTTTTGTATTGCAAGTGTGTATTGCACACTTGTAACCCCACCTACTCCGAAGGCTGAAGCAGGTGAATCACTTGAATCTGGGAGGTGGAAGGTGCAGTGAGCTGAGATCATGCCACTGCACTCCAGCCTGGGTGACAGAGTGGGACTTCCTCTCTAAATAAATAAATAAATAAATAAATAAATATTGATTAAAAGAAAAAAGTTTAAAAATATCTTCAGAGAAACAAAAATGGAAACACAACATATTCAAAATTAAAACATTTAGCAAAAGTATTTCTAAGAAGGAAGTTTAGTAATAAATGTCTACAAAGAAAAAGGAAAAGATCCCAGATAAACAACCTAATGTGACAGACATATCAAGGAACTAGAAAAAGAACAATATAAACCCAAAGTTTGTAGCATGAATGATATAATAAAGACTACAGTAGAAATAAATAATATAGACATGAGAAAAGCAACAGAAAAGAAATCAACCAAATTAAAATTTGTGTTCTTTTAAACTAAACAAAATTGACTAACTTTTAGCTAGACCAACAGGGAAAAAAAAGAAAGACTCAAATATATGAAACCAGAAATTAAAGAGGAGATATTACAATTGATAACACAGAAATATAAAGGATCTTGAAACCACTTTAAACAATTATACACCAACAAATTGGATAACCTAGATAAAATGGATAAATTCCTAGACACATACAAAATACCAACACTATTTTGTGAGGAAAAAGAAAGTTTGATCAAAACAACAACAAGTAAAGAGATTAAATCAGTAATGAATATTCTTCCATCAAAGAAAAGTCCAAGACTTGATGGTTTCAGTGCTGAATTCTAGCAAACAATTAACACCAATTCTTCTCAAACTCCTCCAAAAATTAAAGAGGAGATAATACTTCCAAATGGATTTTATGAAGTCAGCATTACCCAAATACCAAATTCAGAGAGCACACTACAACAAAAGAAAATTACAGGTCAATAATCTTAATGAACATACGTGCAAATTCCTCAACAAAATAACAGCAAAAAGATTTCAACAGCACACTAAAAGGATCACTTACTATAATCAAGTGGAGGATTTATCCTTGGATGCAAGGATAATTTAATATATGCAAACCAGTAAATGTGATTCACTACATTAACAAAATGAAGGACAAAAGTGATATGATTATCTCAATGCATGCATCAAATAAGTTTGAAAAAAATCAACACTCTTCTATTATAAAAACTCTCAATAAATTAAATATGGAAAGAATGTACCTCAACACAACAAAGGCCATGTATGAAAAGCCCATAGCTAACATTATACTAAATGGTAAAAAGTTGGAAGATTTTCCTGTAAGATGAGGAATAAGACAAGTATGCCCACTCTCCCCATTTTATTCAAAAATAGAGTTGGATGTCCTAACCAGAGAAATTAGTCAAGAGAAAGAAATAAAATGCATCCTCTTTAGAAAACAAGAAGTGAAATCATTTTGGTTTTCAGATTACATAATCTTATATATAGAAAACCCTAAAAACTCCATCCAAAAACTGTTAGAACTAATAAATTCAGTAAAGCTTCGGGATACAAAATCAACATACAAAATTGATTAGTGTTTCCATGCACTAACAACAAACTATTTTTAAAAAGTCAAAAAATAAGATTATTCACCACAGCTATAAAACAAATACTTAGGAATAAATTTAAACAAAGAAATGAAAGACTTTGTATACTGAAAACTCTAAACACTGATGAAAGATATTAAAGAAAAAACATAAATAAATAAAACATATCTCCTCTTCATGGATTAGAATAATTAATATTGTTAAAATATCCATACTACCCAAAGCAATCTATGAATTTTATGCAATTTACATCAAAATTTCAATGACATTTTTCACAAAAATAGACAAAATAATTTTAAAATTTAAATGAAAACACACACAAGAAAACCTAATAGCCAAAGCAATCTTGAGTAAAAAGAACAAAGCCAGATATATCACACTACCTGATTTCTAAATCTATTACAAAGCTATAGTAATCAAAACAGCATGGTACTGGCAAAACAAGCAAACAAACAAAAACCTGTTGTCCAATGGAACAGAATAGAAACTCCAAAAATAAAATCCATGCATTTATGGTAAATTTATTTTTGACAAAATTTCCAAGAACACAGAATGAGGAAATGACAGTCTTTAAAAAATGGCACTGAGAAAACTGGATATCCCTATGCAAAAGGATGAAGTTAGACTCTCATCTCTATCTAAAATCAACTCAAAATAAATCAAAGCCTTTAACATAAGACATGAAACTATACAACTACTAGGAAAAAACACAGAGGAAAAGCTCCATGACATTAGTCAGGGTAATAATGTTTTTGGATATAACCCCAAAGACACAGACAACAAATCAAAAATAGACAAAGTTGATTACATTAAACTAAAAAGTTTCTGCACTGCAAAGGAAACAATCAACACAGTGAAGAGGCAGTCTACCAAATTGTAGAATATATTAGTAAACCATACATCTGATAAGGACTTTATATCCAAACTATATAAAGAACTTAACTCAATAATATTAATAATAATAAAAGCCTGTTTTAAAAAAAAAAAAAATGGACAAAATACCTGAATAAATATTTCTCAAAAGGAGACATACAAATGGCTAGTTGGTATGTGAAAAAAATGCTCAAATTACTAATCATCAGAGAAATGTAAATCAATCCACAATGAGATCTCACCTCATGCCTGTTAGAATAGTTATTATAAAAAGAGGAAAGATAACTGCTGGAGAGGATGTTAAGAAAAGGGAACAACTGTACACCTGTTGGAATATAAATTAGTAAAGACCTTATGAAAAACAGTGTGGAGGTTTCTCAAAAAATTGAAAATAGGAGCACTAAATGATCCAGGAATCTAACCAATAGGGATATATCCAAAGAGTATGAAATCAGTATGTCAAAGAGATATGTCTACACTGCACTTTTTGCAGCACTAGTCACAATAGTCAAGGTATGGATTAAACAGGAGTGTAGATCTACAGATGAACAGATAATGAAAATATATATATATACACACAATAGAATACTACTTAGCCTTTAAAAAGAAGGAAGTCCTATCATTTGTGACAACGTGGATGAACCTAGAGTACATTATGTTAAATGAAATAAGCCAGGCACAGAAAGACAAATACTGCATGATCCTACTTACATGTGAAAACTAAAAAAGTCAAATTCGTAGAAAACTAGAAAAGTCAAATTCATAGAAACAGAGTAAAATTGTTGTTACGAGAGGCTTTGGGGTGGAATTCTTGGGAGGATGTTGGTCAAAGGACACAAAATTTCAGTTAGAGAAATAAATATAATAGATCTATTATACATCATGGTGACCACAGTAAATAACAATATATTGTATACTTAAAAATTGCAAAGCAATAGATTTTGAAGTGTTCTCAGTATTAAAAAAAATGATAAGTGTGTGAGGTAATGCATAGGTAAAATAGCTTGGTTCAGTTATTTCACAATTTATACACATACCAATACATGTTGTATACCACAAATATATACATAATTTTTACTTAACTAAAAATTAAATTTACAAAAACAGAAAAGAAATTGGACTCATCTTTCACATATTTAATTTAATCTTGCAACAAAATAACCTCATAAAAAATTGAGGACTATAACTAATTTATTAATCCTTTTATAAAATGTTCTTGCATATTGACTGAGGCATTAAAGAAGCACAAAGATTACAACGTACCCCATTCTCTTATGGTCACACAGTATTTAATTAGATAATTAAAACTGTTTAGTATGTTTCTAGTTTAAATTATTTTCCAAAGCTGTGTAAGAATAAATCCAGCACACAAAAGAAAACACATTTTGTCCAGTTACTTTTGCTCTGACTGGATTAAGTTTTCTTCAAATATGGCAGTGACCTAATGGCCAACTCAACTTTGACTAATGAGAAACTTTTGACGATTATTCGTTTGCCTGTATACATGTGTTTTTTTGTTCCTTTCTTAGGGAACTTAAGCATACTTGAAAATAGCAAGTACTTAAAAAACATAAGCCAGTTACAAGAATCAAGAAGATACAACATATATTAGATTTAGAAACTTGAATATGAGGCAGCTTTATAGACATTGAAATACAAGGATTTCCAAAGTATAATTTTAGTGAAGAAAAGGGGGAATATAAACAGTATGCTGATATTTGTACAGAAAATACATATATTTACAATATATTTCTGGAAATATATATCAGAGACGGCAAAGGTCTTTGTGTATTAGCCAGCTCGGCTGCCAAAAGAAAATATCATAGACTGGGTGGTTTAAACAACAGAAATACATTTTCTCACAGTTCTGGAAGCTGAAACTTTGAGATCAGGGTGCCAGCACGGTGAGGTTCTGGTGAGGCCTCTCTTTCTTCCTTGCAGATGACCATCTTCTCCATGAGGCCCCACGTGGCCTTACCTATGTATGTGCTATGGAGGCAGAGACACAGAAATCTGTCTCTTTCTTTTTATAAGGTCACCCATTCTATCGAGTTAGAAACCCACAGTTATAATCTCACATAAAGTTAATTACCTCCTAAAAGCCCTATCTCCAAATATAGTCACACTAAGGGTAAATGTTGCAACATATGAATTTTGAGAGGGCAAAATTCAGTCTGTAGAACCTTGTCTCCAGGGAGATAATTTGCATTGCCAGGAGACAAAAAAGGGAAGGAGACGTTTCTCACTCTACTCTTTTGTAATTTCCATCTTTTAAATGTGAATGTGAAATTTACTCAGAAAGGTAAGTTACATAAAATTTAAATAATAGGGTTATTGTATCTACATGGTCATGTAAATATTAAGTATCTCCATTACCATGGCATTTTACTAAATAATATATCAGAATATAATTAATTCAATAATTTTGTTTTACAGACCTAAGACACATGCATCAGTACTTTGTTAGGTTTTGAAAAATGTCACAGAAAAATATCTGTATCCTCAGGAAGGAACAGCCCATTAAAATATTATTCAAAATCAACAAGTATATTCCAAGATTAATTCAGCAAAAGTGGAGTGTATTTAGTAAAATTGCAAATGTTCTATTTGGAGAAAAGATTGCTTTGAAATAAAAGTTAATTCAACTCAGAGAGAAAACAACTATAAATATTAAGGATACGATCAATAAAGTTACTAAAAATATGGCTGTGCTTATTCAAGATTTAGAATCCAAACAGAACTCATTGGGTCTAGTAACTACTAGCCTGAAATTAGGAAGATTTGTAGACAACAAATTACAAAAGTAATTGAGAGACTAAGAAGATTTAGGACAATAAATGTAAGAATTCTCTTTTAATTGAAAACCTAATTTTGTAGAATGCTTAAAATATAACTAATCAGTCATAGATAAAATAGCATTTGTAAGTACTCTACACATTGCATTCTTTGAAGCAATTATTAATGATTAATACTTTACTCTGTGCTGTTATTTGAATGTCATAGATCTGTATAAAAATTAAAATGAAATGAGACAGAGTCCATTCAAAATGGCATAATGCATAATTGGATACAATTTTAACCTTGATTCCATTGTTCTATATAAAGCTACTATTTCAATTTAATATAGCTAATGTTCTAACCAGAAATTTATAATGTTAAATACTTCATCCTAAAACTTCAAGTGTCATGTCTCCCCCAGACAGGGATATTAAAGGCCATTTTTTATCTCAAGGTAAGCCTGAAATATAGATAATATATTAATATTCCAGTATTTCAAATTGTAAGCATTAAAATGTCATCTAATGAATTTTGTGGTTAAATATAATTTGACATATTTTAATCTATTCAATTGCAATGAGTAATTTTGGCACTTTGTTTCAACTTTTAAAAAAGTGAATTTCTCATAATGGATCTCTTAAGGAATTATCTATTAACATAATTAGAAATTAATACATGTTATTAATGGCTTAATCAAAGAAACTGTAAATTGATGTGGGACTTCTTTGCAACTTTGCTGTGGGTCTAATCAGTAATATTTCATGTACTCGTCTTCACCCACCCCATCCTTTATTAAATATAGAGGGGAAAAAAGTGGCTCATGTAGACTAGGACTGGTTCAAGAATTTTACAAATATATGATTTATAAAGTGATATGGAGGAGAGACATGAAAGAAAAACTGACTTATTGTACAGCAAACGTTTTAAAAGCCACTTAACAAAAATTAATGCTATATTTGCTCTATTTCTATACAATCAGAAACTATTAATAAATATATATCTTTCATCTATAATGGCCAGAATTATTCTTAGTAGGCCTCAGGAATGGTCAAAGTAAAATTTTTGCCAGGGAAACACAATAATTGCCAATGTTCAATACTTGGTGTGCCAGTCAATGAGGGAAACAAAAATGTTGCTTTACAACAATCCCTCCTAATGTTTAATGTTACTGTTAATTGCTTTATGTAAACTCTATGATCTTAGTTCCTTAGTGATGCTCTTATTAACCAAAATCCTTGTAATACTTAAATAAGTACCTATATTCACCTAACCAAAAATGTGTATATACATCATGCTTTTATTAGTCCCATTAGTAAATAATGAAAATCATTTATAAAAATGACAAATAAATATCTGTAAAAATAAAAAAATTAGTAGCAAGGTAAATCCATTATATCTCTATTATGTATACATCCAAGTCTTTAGTGCACTGTGATTCCTATTGGTGATTTTTTTCAAAATGATTTTAAAATCTAAAAGCTTGGCTGGGCATGGTGGCTCACACCTGTCATCCCAGCACTTTGGGAGGCTGAGGCCAGCAGATCATGAGGTGAGGAGTTTGAGACCAGCCTGGATAGCATGGTGAAAACCTGTTTCTACTAAAAATATATATATATATAAATTAGCCAAGTATGGTGGTGCACACCTGTAATCCCAGCTACTCGGGAGGCTGAGGCAGGACAATCGCTTGAACCCAGGAGGCGGAGGTTGCAATGAACTGAGATGGCGCCACTGCACTCCAGCCTGGTCGACAGAGTGAGACTCCATCTCAACAAATAAATAAATAAATAAATAAATAAATAAATAAAAGCTTTCTGAGAACATTTGATCTTTTACCAGTGTTTTGTTGGAAAAGCAGGTGTGAAGTTATTTCATTTATAGGGAATACTTTATATTACTTCATGAATTTCTGGAGTTATGTATTAAGACATCACCCACAGTCAGGACCAGGAAACTTAATAAATAGAAATTCAGTTTTAAGATTGTCTAACGAATTTATAAATTTCCCCTTAGTCCTGTTTATAGAGGCTTAGGCAGACTAGTTTTCAAAGAACAAAGGCTAGCTCTCATGTCAACTGTATTCATTTCTGCATGTCATTCTGAACCAAAGAAATGGATGAAACTCATCTGTACTTTTGACTGAGGGAATTACATGATATTTTGCTATCATTGGAAAACAAATAAAATGATCTTTCTTTACTTTCAACAAACCCATACACTCCCCCATCACTATCCACACACCATCATGATTCTACAGAAATAAATAAACTCATTTAGCCTATCCCAACAGAGGGATTTCACAAATTTAGAATACCATAACCAAGTAGTTTGGAATACTCCTGTACAAACATGACAGATTACATGTGTAATAAGTGACAAAGAAATACACCTAAGAAATGTTATAATTATCCCTATTTTATGGACATTTTTTGTTTTGTTTTTTGAAAGATGTAACCACATTAAAATGTTTATGCCTAGTATCTTACTTGCAAACTCTAGGAATGACTTTATAACAATAGTAGCTAACACTCATGTTACTAATATACTGATAGTGGTATACTACTATTTCATTTCATCACAGTAATGGCAAGCGGATTGTAATATTGATCCCTATAATGCAATTTTAAAAGTTATTTTTAAATTTAATTTAAGTTACATAAGTGACAAAAAAAGAAATTTGAATTCCATGTCTATAACTCAAAGGTACTGTTCTAATTGTTAGATAATACTGCTGTAAAATCTTTTTAATTCCCTTCTGCTCTGGAATAAAATCTAGGTTATAATACTCCAGATTTTAAATGAGGGCTCAAGTATACTTATTTTAATATTGTTTTCTCTTAAACTAATTTGCCGTAAGAAGAATTTTATAGAGAATATTAAATATAAAAATGCAGAGGATAGTTTAATGGTATATTTATGTCACATTTTCAGTAAGACAATTACTATGCTTTTCGTTAAGTAAGAATTACTTTATATAAGTGGTAGAAGTTTTCTTGTAGTGTTTTATACACCTTAAGGATGCCAAAAGTAAAACAAAATGGCAAGTCCGAGCCGGTATTCCACTACAAATAATATTTTAATTCTATGACTCTCATTTCATTTGGATAGCTTTGAACTCCATCTGGTCACTGACAGGAGGGAAAAAAAGTTTGAGTTTCCATTTTCATTAATATCTTCACTTTTTAAAGTGGAAAATGGAAAGCTTCAACTGCTAACAAATCAGCAACTAATACATTCATAAATGAACCTGCTCCTATAATGGTCTAAAGTGGCTCTCTGTTTAAGAAAGCAATTGATGCAATTGGACCTTCCTATTATTTTCTTTAAATAATGAAGTTATTTGTTTTTAAAATACAAGTGCATTTATATTCACAGTTTACATGAGTGGACAATATTATATTTGGTTTTATGTTTTACACAAAATAGGGATATTGACAGAATGTTAATATGTTCATATTAACATACTACCTAACATATCTTATGAACATATTACTTAATGTATCTTATGACCTAACATATCTTATGAACATATTACTTAAAATAAAAAAAAAAAATTTCAGACTACAGAAAATTAAAGCAGAAACTTTTGTTGACTGGATGAATTCTAAGGGTGAATAGGAAATATATTTCAGCCAGCTATGACAAATAGAGAAAAACACAACTGAAAAAGAACCCCAGCCATCTATCTTTGATACTATGTCTCTAGTTAGCTACATTAATTTAATAACTCATGGACTATTTCTGCATCATAGTCTTATTACCTGGAAAATAGGTAGGTTGTATTAGATCAACAGTTCTTTGCTGGATGATTTTGCATCCCCATGGGACATTTGGCAACAGTTGAAGACATTGTTTATATCACAACAGTGGGAAGGGCGTTAGGGCTGGCAATACTGGCATCTACTAGGTAAAATGGAACAGGAGAACTCCACACAACAGAAAATTATCCAATCCAAAAGAGTAATGTCAACATTAGGAGACCCTAGAACAGGCGGTATTTATGGTTTCTATATCTGGGATTTCAGGATGAGTTTTTTAGAGTTAATTGGGGAACATGAGGTAGAGTAAGGGGCTGAGATGCCTTTTTACCAATTAGGTTTTTTTCAAACAAAAATTTGAAGAATTAGTAACTTTTAGTTCCAACTGAATTATCCAGAATGTTCTATAAAATACCTTCAAACGAATCATTTTTCTTTGAAAATACTACGCTAAGGCTAATCTTTCACTTTTCAATGTGGAGGTCCCCATCCAAAGTTTATGGCATTTATTTATCCAGTCTTACAATAACATCTTACGTTGCTATATAATTATAATATGAATATTATGGATGATATACATATCTTTATAATCCATTTAAATCACTTCTAAAGCATGAATAATATATATGTCTTTTACACATGCATGTATACACACAAATACAATTTACTTATAAACCTATTAAGAAGTTAGCACTATGGGAATATTATATATATTATATATATATATAACATTTTTCATCTCTCTGTCTCCAAACTTTGTGATTTTATAATTTCAATAAAAGTACAATTTTGTTCAAACTGTATTTGTATCTTATGTTTCTGTTCATGCTTCTGCAGGATATTTTACAAGATAAAAGTGTGGTCCATTGTTATTTGCTTTACTAAAGTTCTAAATTTTAAATACTACTAAGACCACCAGGAAAATACTTTCTAATTTATTAGAAAATACTTACAATAAAGCATTAATTCGATAATTCAAGAATGCCAATATAAATACATGAAATGGAACACAGTTAAAAATAAATGTATGAACAGTCACATAAACCATTTCATGTCATCATTTTCTGTATTTACCAAAGTTATAGCTCTTTCGAATGATTATTGCTAATGTATTCATCTCTGACAAAGCACAATTATTTATTTAAATGAATGAACAAAAGAAATAAACAGACTGGCTCATTTTCATGGGTGACTGACTGAAGGAATTTAAGACTTGCTTCAATAATCCTCAATTCATGAATCTAGATGGTATAAACACATATTGATAATTTTAAAACTAAAATAATCAAAAATGTACATTAAAATATTTTTAAAATAAACTGAATTATTATTCATGTAAAGAATTTGAAGTGATATAAAAATGTTAAATAAATAATACAATGCAATTCAGTATATTATTTCAATAACAGTTTTTAGTGTACTCTTTGAAGCAGAAATATTATAACATTCTTTGTCATAATGAGAAGACAATTTTAAACATCTTTTCCAAATATTAAGGTTGTCTGGCATATGAGACTACATTTATGTGACTGTATGTTGTATTTCAATGATGAATGAGTTTTACCTAGAAAAGATTAATAGAAGATTTTAATAAAAGTAAACTATATGAGAGTCTTACAGTTATTGTTGTAAGAGCTAAAATAAAAGCTTCACTTATAGAAAAAAATACTAAAAGGTTTAGTAACTACTCAATATGAATTTGCCTGTTACTAAAATATTTTATTATTAGGTTGTTGCAAAAGTAATTGTGGCTTTTACCATTACTTTTAAAGGCAAAAAGAGCAATTACTTGTGCACCTAGCTATTCATAGAAGGAGGAAAATCAATATTTAATTTAACATTCCATGTTATGTGGCCACTCACTTATTTGGTGGTTTCAGGCTCCATTTTGGGGAATTCTACAGTTTCTTTATGGTTTCAGGAATGTCTGCATTAGGAGAGGTTGGGAGAGAGGGTATCTTGTTGGATGTAATTTCTTCATTTTACTTTAATCAAAATAGTTTCTCTTGTAACTATACACATAGAGAATTTCAGAAGAGGCTTTTAACTGAACAGAAGGATTTATAGAACAACAACAAAGGTAGATAATTTCAAATTAATATGGTAATATGCACTGCTCTTACACTGATCTCTTGGTCAAGTAATTTAAAACAAGAATTAAAAACTAAAATTGAAATTTAGGTAATTAAATTCTATGAATAATTTTATAACCAAAAGGGGCAACTATTGAGATGCTGGAGATTAAGGGTATCCTATCTTAAGGAATGTAGCCATTGTGGAATTAGGACAGCACTTTTAAATGTAGAACATACCTGCATTTGTTTCTTGTCAAGTTCACCATTAGAGACAAAACTGATTGTCAGAACTGTGGAACATTTGAGTAGCAACATACTTTTTATACTGACAATTAGGTTGAAACAACCGAAGAATGAAACGCATAAAGAAGTGTGTTCATGCCCACCACAGAATAAGAATTGCACTTAAAAAGTTAAGGAAATATAATTTTGATAGGAAAATATTTGTTATTAGAGAGAATAAAGAAATTTTGTAAAGTAAAAAATAAACCCATTGACATATTGAGTAGTAGTGTGTACATTCCCTGTCCAATTCTATTACAAGCAAGTCTAAATCTAGAGCCACTAAAATTTCTATGATAGACAGTTTATCTTTAACTAGATGTATTTTTTCTGTTCAACTAAAATGCCTTAGTAATTTCAGTACGATTTTTTTTCTTAGATGTCAAACATCTTTTAAAATTCAAGTTATGGATCACTTAACTCTAAATACATGCTTTTATTTTATTTCCAAAGCTTAGAAGACAAAGATTATTAAAATCTGAGTGTTCAAATATAAAATATCTTGAAGTATATGCATTAAATGTTCCATATTTTAGGCTACCATTGAGAAGATGTTTCTCTAAGCAACATTTGATAAGACTAATCATGAAACTAAACAGCCAGCTGTTTAGATTATAGTACAATCCTTGCTGCCATGTATAACACTATTATCATCATTGGTTTTATAATCCTTTGGCTCAACTTACTACTTACTGGAGATAGCCGAAGAGAACTAACAAAGCTTTTAATGTGATGGTGTTAAAAGGTGATATGGTTCAGTTGTGTCCCCACCCAAATCTCATCTTAAATTGTAGTTCCCATAATCCCCAGGTATCGTGAGAGGGACCCCATGGGAGGTAATTGAATCGTGGGGGCCATGTCCCCAGTGCTATTCTCATGATAGTGAGAAAGTTCTCATGAGATCTGATGGTTTTTGTAAGGGGCTTCCCCCTTCCCTTAGCTCTCTCCTTCCTGCCGCCATGTGAAGAAAGAGGTGATTGCTTCCCCTTCTGCCGTGACTGCAAATTTCCTGGGGCCTCTTCAGCCCTGCAGATCTGTGAGTCAATTAAACTGCCTTCCTTTATAAATACTCAGTCTCAGGTATGTCTTCATTGGCAGTGTGAGAATGGACTTACACGAAAGGCGAACATAAATCCCTTTCTATTGGGACAACAGTATTTGGAGTTAAGAGTTAAAAAGAAAACATAAAAGGATGAACTGTAAACCTTCATTCAAAAATAAAACAGCATATTATATTACACTTTCATATGCAATAATATTTTTAAAAGTTCAATGTAAGTATAAATTTGTGTGAGATATAACCAACTTATTATAGTTGTAGTTTCATAAATTAAAAGATGTGGATGAAGTTCCAAGATTTGAAATTACTACGCTTTTATTATCAAAGTTAAAGATGGCAGAGTAATAATAATTATCTTAAGTTTGAACAATAAATCATTCAGAGGGTGGTGCCCAGCTGGTTGTTTACTTTTCCCCTTAGAGAAGATTGAGGAAATAGTATTAAGATTTACTATTAGAAAGATGTTTAGAAGAATAATTTTGTGACAGTGATTAAATTCTAAAATCCTTGATCCAAAAGGGAATTGAGAGTATGAAATTAGATAATGAAATTTCCTGCTGTGTATCACATGCCATCACTGAATAAATTCTCTTGCCACATATTTTTGTATTGTGTTTCTTTTCCTCTGTGTCATAAACCTCTATCCACCTCATTTAACATTTTTACTGATTTTTTTCTCCCATAAATCATATTCTTATTGTGCCAAATACTATTAATATAAAATCTAACAGGCTAACATAAAGAAAGAGATGTCACTTTATCCTTAGAGGTATCTCCAGATGTGGGCCTGTCATGTGGCGGGGGGAGTATCTGCTGAGCCTCTTAAGACTGTGGAGATGGCAGAAGCAGTTTTATGCCTCTGAGGTCTCAGCAAATTGGCATCAGTCACACTTACCTGTCTGTTTCCTTCACTGATCTCTTTTAAACTATTTCTAAACCTTCCCCCTGTCCATATCGTGCCTCTGTATTCGAAATATAATATTATTAGACACAGAATTTTACTTAAAAATACCTACTCACAGGAAAATAATGAGACTTTCTCAAAGAAAGATCATTCCTATATTTTTGGCAAAGGGATGGGCTCCTCTGGGAAGCCTTTCAGAGAGCTACATTGACACATTTGTATAAAAATAAATGAAACAGTATTCATCATAACTACGTGTCTCTTGCAGGATTCTATAACTCCTAAACTAACATTCTGCAGATGGCATGCCAATGTGTTCAAGAGGGATCATATATAATTTGGATAGTTTTGATATATTAATAGGATATATACATCAGGCTTTCTTTTTAAAAAGTGAAATATATATGATCTTAGAGGCAAATCAATGACTTTTATATTTTTGAAACCCCTAAATTAACTTTTTAAGCCAAATGAGGCTATTATATAATAGTCATCATTCTTTAAAAGTTTCTACTTCCATTTCTTCCCCTCCTGATAAGTTTATTTTCTCCTGTATCACACCACTCAAATTTCTAGTAACCTCTTAACTTCCAAAAGGAATAATGGTGTGTTCCTCATGCCCTGTGACTTCCTACCAGGATTTGCTTACAGTCACTATCCCTGAATGGAAACTATTTTTCTCTGATCCCAAGATCCTAAGCAGAGCATTGTGTGTATGTTGTACTCTACTTCCAACCAACCCTTTAAAGCACCAGGCACTCTGCATGTTGCATTCTGGCCAGAGTGCACTGCTTTGAATTCCTCTCATTTGACTCTTTGACGATCCTTACTCAGTGCTCTTCTTCAGCCTGTTTCGTCAGTCTGCAATTATCTTTTTCTTCTTTACCTCCAGTTGAAATTTTACTTCTATTTCAATATCTATTTTAAATACTTTCTCCTTCTAATGATTACCCTCACACCCACTTAAGTACACACACTTGTACACACACTCACTACCTCTCTAGGTAGAAATGGTTGATTCTTATCTTGAATTCTGCTTGTACTCTCACGTAGCAAATTTTTTCAAACAGCCAATATATAAACTTCAATTGGACTTATCGCTGTATTGAAGGCCCAGATTATTATTTTTTAGAAATTGGCTACATTCTAGAATGCCTAGAAAACCAAACTAGATTGTATACTTAAAAAAATTAAATTAAATCTTAAAAGTACATATTAATATTTCTAATAATTCAGCTAAGAAAAAACACTTTCTCTGAATGTAGCATTTTACCATTTTCCTGACATTTCTATTTTCTAATGTATTAGAAATAAATGTTAAAGGTTTTGGGGGGTGATAATGGCCTATGTTTTAACTTCGGCTTAATGTTTATTAATGTGTTACTTCTGAAATCAATTATTTCTATAATTGTTAAATATGTCTTTATAATGTCTACAATTGTTAAATATATCTTTATAATTTAAAAAATCATATGCTGAAAGCAAAACCATTGGCAAAATGAACGCGTTGGACATTTTTAAAGCATATAAGAAAGAAAGAAAGGATTACAGCACAATACTAGAGACCTTAGTGCTTAATAAAATTCTATGTGTTTTCCCACAATTCCACTTTAATATTAAGTGTAATTGTAAAATGATTCTGAAGATGTAGCAAGATGAGTGTCAATTATAGGCAAAAGCCAGGAAAGGGTAGCATGGAACCTTCTAGTTCTTTCTTCCACTACCACAGTACCCAATGAAGCAATGTGCAACAGATGGTAGAGGCTCCATCAACCTGAAGCAGAATATCCTGCTGCCTACAATACACATAGACATATCAACACAAAACTTTTTCTTTTTAAATTTTTAACTGACACGTAATATTTATACATATTTATGGGATACAGTGTGATGTTTCAATACATGTATAAAATATGTAATTATTAGGGTAACTAGCATATCTATAACCTCAAATATTTATCATTTCTTTGTGGTGAGAACATTCCAAATTCTCTTTTCTACCTATTTAAAAATATACACTATATTATTGTTAACTATAGTCACTTGACTGTACAACAGAACACTAAACATTATTCTTGCTATCTCACTGTAACTTTGTACCCACTGGACAACTTCTTATTCCCCCACTCCCAAATCCCTCTAGGCCTCTGCTAGCAACTATTCTACTCTTTACTTCTAGAAGATCAACTTTTGAAGATTCCGTTTATGAGATCACGTGGTATTTGTCTTTCTATGCCTGGCTTGTTTCACTTAACATATTGTCCTCCAGGCAATTTCGTGTTGCCTCAAAAAACAGAATTTTAATGTTTTTTTTTTATGGCTGCATAATATTACATTGGGTAAATATACCACTTTTTTTTTTTATCCATTCTTCAGTTGATGGACACTTAGATTCCATAACTTGGCTATTGTGAATAGTGCTACAATAAACATAAGAGTTCAGATATTTCTTCATCATATTTATTTCATTTCCTGTGAATATATACCCAGTGCTGGGATTGCTATATCATACTAAAGTTCAATTTTTAATTATTTGAGGGATCTCCATACTTTTTTCCAAAATGGCTGCACTAATTTACATTCCCACCAACAGTGTGTGAAGGTTCCCCTTTCTCACCACATGGCCTCTCCAACATTTGTTATTTTTTGTCTTTTGATAATAGCCATTGAAGGTGAGGTGAGATGGTATTTTACAGTGGTTTGTTTGCTTGTTTTGAGACAGGGTCTCACTCTGTCACCCAGGCTGGAATACAGTGGTGCCATCACAGCTTATTGCAGCCCTGACTCCATCTCAATCAATCCTCCCCCCTCAGCCTCCCAAGTAGCTACTTACTATATACTTAATCTGTGTGTGTGTGTGTATGTGTATATATATGTGTGTGCCTGTGTGTGTTTCTCATAATGCCTTTCCATAATGTAAGGAACATATTGGGAAGGTCCTTGGAATTACAGTAAACACAATACATTTAAAAGAAAACAACCCATTTCATAGTTCTAGATATTATCTTTTCTCTTTCTCTTTCTAGTTCTTGGTTTATTTTCTTGCCTTTTTAGACTAAATCTCTGACTCACTTTTTGAAGCTCCTAATAATGCAAAAATTTCTTCTGAATTTACTAATTTAACCTCTTTTGTTATATTCACCCACACATTATATGCATGTCACCATTCTCTCTGTCTGGAATAATCTTTCCCCTGATTTTTGCCTGGTTATGTACTACTGATTCTTCAGCTATCACTTGACATGCCTTTGCGTTGGAAAACCTCTGGGTCCTGGACTTATATACTCTCTCATAATTTGCATTCTTAACTCTTTTTATTCTTAACAAAATTGAAAATTAAATTATTTTTTATATTTAATAAGGCATTTCTGTATCCACCATTAAGCCATATGCTACCTAAAGACAAGCACCATGTGTCATTATCTCTGACATATCTTGTCACAGGCAAGCACAGTGCTATGATGAGAACATAATAGATACACAAAAGCATGTGATGGATAACTGCAGTAACTTATAATCAACTATTTTGAAAATGGTATTTCTAGGCTAATCATACTTAGCATCATTGTATCAATTTGTATGTTCATCTTAATATTCACTAATTTTGATCATTTTTTCAAAACACATTTCTATTCTATAGCTTTCACTTTTCATAGTTAATTTAAAGTTTTCTAAAAAATGAACATTTTCATAACTTTAAAAAAAGCCTTTATCAATTATTCTAACAGCATTCAGAGTAAAAGGCAACTTAATTTGATTGATTAATTTTGGATTTAGTTAAGTTAGAAGTTGCCAAATTATAATATAGTATATAACTGAATTTTATATATGTTAGATATTTACAAATTATGCATTGAATTCAAGTTTTAATATTTAACATCTGGTAACTTTTATGAAACAGATATTTTATTACTATATTTCAAAGTTTCCTGTTTTATTGCATTTTATTTACTTGAAATAAATAAACAACTGAAATACAGGATGAAGATAACAACAAAACTCACAGCTAACATTTATCATGAGCAGGTATAGGATAAGTGATTGACATATGCTATCTTATGTAACCCTCACAACCACCCAGAGGGGTAAACGCCACTATTCTCATTTAGACATGAGGAAACTATAGTCATAACTAGGTATCCAGTTCTAAAAAAGGAGCTTAACTCAAATGCTTGAGGCCCTGCCATGATGCACCACTACTTCATTGCATTAAACACAGTTTAAAATTAAACTACACATATCCTTAAAATTTATCTGTGGGAGCAGGAGAAATAAAACTAAGAAGAATGGTTGGTTTTATTAAAATCCCTTTCCTAATGTCATTGAGCAGTACAACATGTTTATAATTAAAATGAATGAAACTTAACATTGGCTTTATTCTTTTGTGATTCCTGCACGTAGCATCCTTCTCTACCACATAGCACAACATTATGGACAACAGCATGAGAACCATCTTTAATTCTGCCTCCTGTTTCCAGTAACTCCAGCAATAGGAGTCAATGTTGAAGATAATATGTAAATAAATCACTAATAATTCAGCATTACCCCTAGGTGGGCTAGGGAAGAGCATAAATTATTTCAATGTACAGTCCAGTAAATCCTTTGTTTTTGGTCTCTGATGCGTAACCATTAAAGATGCACCTTATTAAGAAATTCTTATGTAACATTTCTAGACATAAATGTCATCTGTCTTTCCAAAACTGTCTTTTAAAACAAACTCCTATTCAGCTATCTTTACATAGTTGAGTAGTATAGGACATTTGTTAAACATAAATGGAAAAAACCATATTCTTCAGAAACAAAATATTATTCATATTAGAAGATCAAATGGAGACTTTTTGCTTCTCTATAATATTTTATTACTTCTCTGTTTTTCTTCTGATACTTCGGGCGAAACTGGTGCAAGCTAAGAGTTGAAAATCAATGCCTTAGGGCATGGGCTTTTAATACCACTACATATTAGAATCACCTTGAAATAGTAAATACATGAAAGCTGACAGCCCACCTCAGAACATTTAAGTTATAATTGGATGGGGCCAGAATGTTTAGAGTTTGAAAAGTTTCAAGGTGTCTCTCATATGCATACACTATTGAAAACTACTCTTAAGAGGTAAGAAACCTAAACAAATAAAGTCTATTCTTAAAATTCAATTTTTCTACTTACTCTCCCATAGCAAATTCATGTATTTCCCACGATATTATTTTTTTATTCTCCCCATATACCTTACAAAGAGGTCATTAGTACTCTAATTATATTTTGTCCTTCTCTTTAGGAAGTGTTTCTGTCAGGTATTATGATTATTTTACTTTATAATTATAATGCAATAATATTTTGCATTAAAAATTAATTAACACATAGAATGTACCAGGTATTGTTCCAAAAAACTTTTCCAATACTGAGTCTACAGCACTATTGCTATCTTCATTTCACAAACAAGGAACTTGGAGCATAGAGAAGGTCAAATAACTTGACTAAAAATCAGTCAGCTGTTAGGTAGCATAGACATGATACAACCCCAGAGCAGCATGGTGCTTCACTAATAATAACAAAATAATGAGTTGATAGTTATATAGCAATTAGAACAGCTCTGGCAAGTGTTAGGTTATTGCTTACTTTACTATTATCATTATGATCATTATTATTATTATTTACTGTGTGATTACCATGTGCTAGGCATAATGCTAAGAACTTTACATAGTTACATGGTTGTATATGCTTTATTTCATTTTCACCTCACAATATCCCTGTGAGATGAGAACACTTATTGCTGTAAGCAACTTGTTTCAGTCACCCAACCAATAAGCAGATGAGCCTGAACAAAAACCCATAGTTAAAACCATGGCGTTTTTCTTTTTCATTTTGTATCCTGTACAGGATTTAATAATAGTTTTCTCAAACAGTAGTAAACTATTATTTACTGAATTGAATTAAATTGAATTTGTATATCTATGATTCAAACTTAGTTACATTACTTTGCAGTAGAGACATTTTCCTTTTTTTATATATATTTGTGTCTGTCTTATTTAATATCTCTTAGCCTGACGTTCTTAAAAAATATCAGTTTATCAGATGAGTAGATTGCAAAAATTTTCTCCCATTCTGTAGGTTGCCTGTTCATTCTGATGGTAGTTTCTTTTGCTGTGCAGAAGCTCTTTGGTTTAATTAGATTCCCTTTGTCAACTTTGGCTTTTGTTGCCATTGCTTTTGGTGTTTTAGACATGAAGTCCTTGCCCATGCCTATGTCCTGAATGGTATTGCCTAGGTTTTCTTCTAGGGTTTTTATGGTTTTAGGTCTAACATTTAAGTCTTTAATCCATCTTGAACTAATTTTTGTATAAGGTGTAAGGAAGGGATCCAGTTTCAGCTTTCTACATATGGCTAGCCAGTTTTCCCAGCACCATTTATTAAATAGGGAATCCTTTCCCCATTTCTTGTTTTGGTCAGGTTTGCCAAAGATCAGGTGGTTGTAGATGTGTGGTATTATTTCTGAGGGCTCTGTTCTGTTCCATTGGTCTGTATCTCTGTTTTGGTACCAGTACCATGCTGTTTTGGTTAGTGTAGCCTTGTAGTATAGTTTGATAAACTGGATTAAGAAAATGTGGCACATATACACCATGGAATACTATTCAGCCATAAAAAAACGATGAGTTCATGTCCTTTGTAGGGACATGGATGAAGCTGGAAACCATCATTCTCAGCAAACTATCGCAAGAACAAAAAACCAAACACCACATGTTCTCACTCATAGGTGGGAACTGAACAATGAGAACACATGGACACAGCAAGGGGAATATCACACACTGGGTCCTGTTGTGTGGTAGGTGGACAGGGGAGGGATAGCATTAGGAGATATACCTAATGTAAATGACAAGTTAATGGGTGCAGCACACCAACATGGAACATGTATACATATGTAACAAACCTGCACGTTGTGCACATGTACCCTAGAACTTAAAGTATAATTAAAAAAAAAAAAAATCCATCATTCACATAACCTTAAGCCAATGACCTCCACAAGCTTCACTTTCCTTATCTGTAAATTCAGATAATGGTACTTACTTCACAGGACCATTTGGAATCTAAGGAGTTAATGCATGTAAAATACCTAGGACATAAAGCGTCAATAAAACAGCTCTTTTATCTCAAAAAAAAAAAAATCAGTTTAGTTAAATAACGGTTTATCTCTTTGGGAAATGTAAGAGAGAAAACAGTCTAGAATTGCGACATCACTGTCTTTTCACCAAATACAGAATATGGGTGTGGTAGGCAGCTTCTAAGGTGACCGCCAATGATCTCTGACTCTTGGTATTCCTACTGTTGAGTCTGGATTGGATTTAAAGACTTGTTTTTAATGAATGGAAAATATCAGAAATAATGGGATATTACTTTTGAGATTAAGTTATAAAAAGAAAGTATCTTCAGCCTTGAGCTCTGAGTGTTGCTATTTCTCTCTTCAACCCCCTATCTCAGTGGAAAAACAGCCTATTGCGAGCACCCCTATGAGGAGAGAGGTCCATCTGAAGATGAATTGATATCTCTCATCAACAGCCGGTAAAATTCTGAGGCCTGCCTATAGCTACATGAGTGAGTGTGAAAGAGCGTCTTTTGAGGCCTACTGTCAGTCCCTTTGACAAGTTTTGGGGTGGATTATCTTCCAATTCAGCTTTAAGATGACTGTGGCTAAATAACATCTTGGATAAGCTGATTCACTTCGGTGTCCTTAGAGACCTTGAGCCAGAGGAACAAAACTGAACTACATTCACAATTGTGAGATAAGTTTTTTCTTAAGACACTTCATTTGGGGATAAATTTTTATGCAGCAATAGATAACTAATAATTATATTTTGGTTATGTGATATATGTGAATTCATTTTGGAATCTTCACATAAACTTCAAACAGATAGATATGTATGCAGCTAGAACCAAATAAAAACAAAGGCCTACATTACTGAATATTGGGAAAGATGTGATTTTTATGTAAATGCAACATATGTGCAGATAACAAAAATGTGACCAATATGAATCCTGAAATGAAAGACAGGAGCAGGCACTATGAATTACTGGTTTTCATGTACAGTGAGGCTTCTGTCACAGACCAATTCTCCACAGCATATTCTAGGTTAAATGCAGGAAGAATTTTTTTTTTTAAGTAAAGGTGCTTGATAATTCTCCTTATTAATGCCAAATATGTCAGTAGGCTTTCCACAAAAAAATAAGGAATGGTACATCATTTTCTTACTTTTTATTTATAAAACTAGAAATATTCATTACAATTATAAAAATTGATTTGGATAACAAAGCATTTAAAATTGATATGGATGAAAAAGCATTGTTAATATCTTATTCTAAGTATTTAGTGGGATGATAAGATTTTTGTTTCAGTAGTTCTAACAGAACCAAGTCATTAATTAGGGAAATGATAGTCCTTCAAGGACATCATTAGAATGATGAGCTTCTGCTTTCAACAAAGAGAGAAGCCAGAGAACCGAAGTAACTCAAATTTGATACAGATTCACAAAGGATCAGAAGTTCAAAACATACTAATGCATATGAACATTATATTAGAGACCACTGCATCCCAAACTGGTATTTTACCTAATAATATATAAGCAGTTATAATATTTTTAAAAATGATTCCTGCTCAAATAAGTTTGAGAAAAAAATGCTGGTTAGACAGGCTTGTTAATTGTAGGGCTCTCCTGTGCTTTAAATTACTAATACGCACGATTAATCTCTAAGAGTGAACCAAGAAACAGCATTTCCTACCTTCATTTGAGCATTGAGATTTTTGTGAAGGCTAAACAATTAGCCTCGCCCAGAGTAATGTTCCATGGAACAATAAATGAGGAACACTCTTAAGTATCATAATTCAAAGAGTTCACAGTAAGCTACAAGAAAGCAGGAACCACCTTTAGCCACTCCCAGTGTACTCCCAGTACTAAGTACAGTACTGACAGTGCAGGCTTTTACTAAGAAATTACTGATGAATGAATGGATAGACACCCCCAAACTGTAAGTTGGAAAGTATTAGCTACATGCATATATTATTTTCAATTGTAGCCTTGCATCAAATAATGATTTATTTCTCTTCATCTTTCTACCAGCATCTCAATGCAAGGTCACTTCAGAAGTCTGGAGGCTTCTATAACAGCACACAGGATCAAAGGAAGGACCCTCCACTCAAGAATAATCTGTCATGACTGCGGCTAATATCAACATTATCCAAGACCTTATTTAGGTTCCTTGAAAGCTGGTATCTGTGCAGCTTCCATTCAGGTGGAAGGTACTGAAATAATCATAGACTGGCAAAAATGGCCAAGCGCAGTGGCTCACACCTGTAATCCCAATACTTTGGGAGGTCAAGGCGGGCAGATCACTCGAGCTCAGTAGTTCGAAACCAGCATGGGCAACATGGGAAAACCCTGTCTCAACTGAAATAAAAAAGTTAACTGGACATGGTGGCATGCACCTGTAGTCTCAGCTGCTCAGGAAGCTGAGGTGGGAGGATCATTTGAGCCTGGGAAGTCAAGGCTGCAGTGAGCTGTGATCCGGCCACTGCACTCTAAACCTGGCAACAGAACGAAACCTTGTCAAAACAAAAACAAAACAAAACAAAACAAACAAACAAACAAACAAACTCTATTTTTAAGTCCTCACTGCTAAATGCAAAATTTTCTACCACAGGGTGGTAGTAATAGATTTCTGTTATTGAGAAGACCCTCCTCCCCACCCACCCCCCCCCCAAAAAAAAAAACAAAAACTTTTCTCTCCTGGTATTTAGTACTTCCTTCTTTTTTTTCTCTTTTATCAGGAAAACTGATATACTATTTTCAATGAGTTTTGGATTTTCTAAGGGCACACACAGAGAGAATAACTTTAGGCTACTTCTTGAAGATATAATTCAATGATTTTTAACCAATATTTATGCCATCCAGCATCACCTGGAGTATAGCCAATCAAACAAAGCATATGAACCAAGTAATCACACAATATCTGCATTGATGTGTTGCCTACATGCAGCAGAATGATCTGGATAGCTCACCAAAAACATAATTCATATATACCTTTTTTACTCCATTTGCCAACATACTTTATTTCAGAGAAATTTTAAATTATATCTCAGCTGTTTCTCAGAGCTCCTTTGTGGAAATTACATCCTGGTTTCTGTTCCATACTTGAGTAGACTACAGGCTTTCCAGTACATTGTCCATTGGACCAAAATCTGGAGCAAGAGAAATAGTGTTATGGTAGTCAGGACACAGTAGCTGGAGCCAAACTATCTCAGTTCAAATTTTCGCTCTGTCACTTACTAAGTCTTTATCCTTGAACGTATTATTTAACCTCTTTGCCTCATTTTCCACAACTGTAATCAAAGGGAGTAGTAATAGTATGAGTTAGGGTCATCACTTAAATTGAGTGTATTAATACATGCATCACTTAGAACAGGTGTGTGGTGTATATATCTATATCTATATTTATATATCTATATCTATACAATCATCCCTCAGTATCCTCAGGGGATTGGGTTCAGGACTGCCCGCATATACCAAAATCCATGCATACTCAAGTCCCGCAGTCAGCCTTGTGGAAATCATGGACAAAAAATGTTGGCCTTCCATATATGCGGATTTAGCTTCCTGCAAATACTATGTTTCTATCTGATTTTGGCAGATGAATGTGAATGAGGAACCCACCTATAGTGATGGCCAACTGTAATTATTGAAAAAAATCTGCATATAAATGGATCTGCCTAGTTCAAACCATGTTGTTCAACGGTAAACTGTATATCTCTTCTGGACTCTCCATTTGGAAACACATGGACCCAGAGGATTTCTTCCTTTGCTTGTTTATTTTTATGTGAGTTTGGGCCCACATTTATCTCTATTGGCTGATCCAGAAGATTCACAGAGGTTATGTTCTTCATCTTGCTATCCCAACCGTCAGGTCCAAGACTTTGTATTATCTTTTTCTCTTACTTCATTGACTTGTAGATGCCCCTGGTCCTTGATCCATCTTTGTGAACTTAATGATTCAAACTCTGTTGTTTATAGCAGGTTTAAAAGAACAGCTCTTATTACTAGATGTTCAGAAAAATATAAATTTTATGTTTCTATTAAATTTAGAAGATTCTACCCATTTTTAGCATTAAAAAATATGAAATGTTTATTCAGATAAAAATTTAGTCCAATGTAGATAGATATACAGTGTCTTCTAGGTAAAAATGTTTAGTCTCCCAGACACCTTTCCTTCTTAGTTTTTGTCTCCTTAAGATAGTGCCTATTCATAGGGAAGGGGTTGGGGGGATAAATGGAACTTATTTTATAAGGTTTCATGGTGGTAGGGGAAGCAAACAAACAAATACCTTGAGTGCTATGTCCTCAGATTTCTACGGTTTCCAAAGAATTGGTTATGTGCTGTTGGCACAGAATTGGTTATGTGCTGTTGACATCTGCTAGTGATCACTGCTGATTCTGTATCGAGTGTGAGTCTCTCAGCTTAGAAAGCATGTAAAAGTGATCATGTGATCAAGTGATCTTCATCAAGTGGAAGGTTCACCTCAGCTTCCACTGCACCTGTCACTTATGAGCTCTCACTATAATTTCATTTTCCTTCATCTGGGGATAGCAGGTAGTGATTCCTAACCTTTTGTGCAAAGACCTCTGACTTCATACAGTTCTCCCAGCAGCCTCTTGGTAAATTCTGAGTCCTATTGTAACTCTGGAACCCAGGGTGGTTCCAAAAGGCTACAACATAGGGCCTTTTCTCCCTGACCTGTTGCATTGCTAAGTAATTATAGCTGAGCCCCTAGTGATTCAAGTAAACCTTCAAGAAGAACCTCATCCCAGACTCCTGGACTATGGGCAAGAGTTTTCTCCTCATTGTTATTCCTTCAATATATGTAACATACCTCATGGATAAGGATGGCTCTTATATTCTTATATAATCCTAAATTAAATGTCAACTATTAAGTATTATCTCTGACATCATCTTTATATTCCCTCCATCCTTATTCTCAAGCAAATGAAAGCTATACAACAACATAGGGAGGTACTCAGAAATGCAAATGATGAAAGCATAATGTCCCCTCGTGAACACGAAAACAAGTTCCTGGTAATTTACGTGCATTTTGTGGTACCGCCAAATCCCAATCAGGAAAATAAGTACTGTGTATTGAAATTGTACCTCTGATTTCAAAATTAAAACATAAAAATTTTTAGTAGTTATATAATTATGTTAGTTGCATGAAATTTGTTTCTAAAATATGACTTTGACAAAGATATATATAGGACACATAGTAATCAAAACAAAAGTGGCAATTTTCTCGGTAGTACTATCTACCCTCATGGGCTATTCTATGGAATTCCTTTCCCTATTGTTTTAGGTAAGCCGTCAGTATATCTGTTTTGCAAAGAAAACAATGATACTGGGATTTTAGTACAACTCATGTCACTTAGTTTCCATGTCTATTTCTTTATATGAGTTATTATTTCCTTTTAAAACTATCATTTATGTATCATGATAGATTCAAAATATATCTAAATACACGTTGCTTATTATGAATACTAAAGTTAAGTAATGCAGAATTTATAGATTCATACTCCAGTTTAAAATTAGGTAGCTTACATAGGGGCATTTATATTGTTTCATGGAAGCAAGTTTATTAGTGCTTTCCTTTCAAGCATAGCCTAAATACATTAAGATTAAATACATTAAGGTTAATTTGAGAGTAGTTTTAATTCCATAGGAACATACATTAGCCATATCTTTTCATCTGGAAAAAATTATAACAATAGCAAAACAATAAGTCTAATAATGTCTACAAAGAAACCATATGAGATTAGAAATATGAAACCTTGTATAAATCCCTCTTATCAGTCCCCATACAATTGTCTGAATCCCCATGGCTACAGTCAATTATGCTTTTTTTTCCCCCACAGAGATACCAGCACCAATAAGAGAACAGTTTATTCTGCCTCTTGCAGTGATTTTTGTGAATATCTCAAAATATCGATAATAAGAAATGGGTCCTGTCAATCAATGCATCTGATGGATGCTAATTCTATCCAGAAAACAATATTAACCTTTTCCACTGTAAGCCTATCAAATACTAGAGATCTAAGATGGAATAATAGCTCAAAATGAATTTCTCCATGAAATAAAAATAGAACTGCTTGTTAATTTTTCTCGAAACACAGATTAGTAAAACTGCAGCTGTTTCAAGAAGTGAATTTGTGGGAAAATGTCAAGTGTGAGACATTTTTCTTTCTTGACCAATTAAAAGTAATAACATGCCAACTTTGAGAATAATAGTGTGGGAAATAGTGGCAGTTTTTAAACTTTGTAAATAGAAATATCAAAACATATAATTAGTTTCAAATTTTTGGTTAATTAAACACAAATACCTATTTATCTGTTGTATTTTGCTTTCATAGTGGGCTTATAATGTTGGTATGAAGAAAATAAAAATAGCTTTATTGTTACAGCCTATGTAACAAAGCATGACAAAAACATCCAGATATCTAATTTCTCATTGGTCTGGGTCTTTCGCAGTGTGGATGCATAATTTTGTTATCAAATTGAATGGATATTTTTAAGGATATAATTACATGTTTCTTGGGGAAGTTCAACAATTTAAAGTATCTTGTCAATGTTTTATATTTTCCATTCCTCCAAAACTTAAAATTAAGTAGTGAGTCACTGATTCAACAAGATGTACACAAAAGTATGTCTACTAGTATAAATTATAAATGTGAAACTATAGTTTAGAACTCTCATCATTAAAGTTATTGGGTTATAATAGAAACACATGTAATACATGTAAAAATGTATAACACAAGCTCAAGTTGAGTTATAAAAACATGTTTTGCTCATGAAATTTAATTTTTTACTAAATTTGATTAGTTGAGGCTTTTAAATAAACATAAACATTAATGAATTAAATAATGTATAATTCCACAAATGTTTTCTCCACATGCATCTTATGCTATGGAAAAATATTTATCCATTCTTTCCACAAATATTTATTGAGCTTTGAAATATGCCAGACACTGTTCTTGGAAGCAAGAACACATGAATAAACAAAAACATTCTAAATGCTGGCCTTTGTGGTACTTGTGCTCATGTTTTGTATATTAAATAAAAAAGACAAAAACTATTTTTGTGACATTTGCAGTTTGTGGTTAAGCAGGCAGTAAACTCTTCTTCACACAAGTCAACAGGGGAAGCACAGGTTGTAAATATCTGAATGAAAGAGTGATGTGATACAGAATAATGTGTGAAGGCCCATTGTAGGGAAGAGACAGGGAAGCCTTTTTGAAGTGATAACTCCATGGCGTGACACACTTTTAAGTTTGCCTAAGACAGTTTTAATTTACATTTGTTGTCCTAACAGTCTGTCAGAGTAGCCTTTGCTCCACTCAAATATTTAGGAGAATGACTAAGGTAAAGTAGTAGACTGATTGTAAGCATTGAAGCAGGTTCGGTAAGGGATGGTTTTGATTGGGTTTAGGGTGATAGTAACTGAGATTCAGAAATGTGGATACACTTGATACAAATACTCTAAATAATCTTCTTTTCCATTCCTGTATTTAAGTCCCTTATCTATTCAAAGAATAAGTAGCATTCAAGACTCTAAAGTTCAAATAACAGAATGATACACCACTTCCTGCTTTAGAGGCTCACAGCCCATCTGAAAGAGACAGACAAATAAACACATGCATATAACTTAGAGCTACAGGAATCCTAGTGTAATTGGCAATGGGTAAGTGGATCACCAATGAAAGAGAGGTGAATTCTAACTATATTCAAAAACAAAAAAGATTCACAGAGTAATGGACCATGGACTTGAGATTTAGAAGTGAATGATGGTCATTTGTCAATTGGGATAATATCTCTGTAAGGTGTATGAGGTCCTAACTTTGGTGAATGAAAACTACAATTTGCCTTCATAAATTGCTTACATTTTTTCTGAAGAAAGATAGTTTTATAATTCCATCTATTAATATTTCTTTGAACCCCCTGTTACCTGAGAAGGCAATCTATTTTGAAATGAAAATAATAGAAGCTTAATACATTAACCTGGAAACACTTTATAATACATATCACACTGAAGAGGTCCTACATAAGTACTCTTCTGTTCATTTTAAACTTGAGCTTTATTATCTGTTTTTTGTAAACCCCAGAGCTTTCTTAATGAGCATTATGAAAAATCTTTTAAATAAGACAAAAACATTTTAGGTTTCTATTCCTTTTTTTCCCTCAGTGCTTTCAAAGAAATTTCTGAGCATAACCTGTTGTATAAATTATACTAGCAGGTTATGATTGTTTGGGGTACTTCCTTGATTTTTCACATTTAAAAATAAAACTGCTCATGTTTTTTTTGTTTGTTTCAAACAGCAAGTAGAAAAATTGTCATACAGAATGTTACCTGTAAACTTTATCTTTGTTCATGTTTTAGATTTTTTTCCTTGATTTGAATGACTTCTTTTTTCTTTTCAGGTACTTATATGTGAATTATTTTCAAACTGTACTTTTTAAGCAATAGATGCGGAAAAAATAGGAATACTGACTTATTATGTCCTCAAAGTCTCCTCTCAACAAATACCAGGAGATTTCCAGTTTTCTCTTACATAGTTTGGTTGGAATTAGCTCTGTTTTGATTAATACTCATGAACAATGTGTTTGTTCTGCCCTCTTTTTTAAATATGGGAGGGAGTTGATGTTGGTAATTATTTATTATTTCTCTCAACTTTGCTATAAAACAGGAGGAATTTCATTCAACTTCCGATCACATTTGAATTAGATACCAGAAGACTAATAATAAGTAATTTTACAATGTTGATGTGCGGGCAATTCTAGGGAAGACTCAAAACCCAGAATACATAAAAGGGAAAATTCACACGATTAATTACGTTTAAAAATTCACATGGAAACACATTAAAGAGTTCAAAAGAGAAAAGGGAAAAGTAAAGCCATGAAATACAAACTATCCACATGAGTACTAAAATACCAAGGTGTAGGTTATACATGTTTATATATTTGTCAAAATTTGGAATGTACACTTAAGGTTTGTGCATTTTATTATATGTAAATTTTACATTAAAATAAATAAATTTGAACTCTAGTTAATGATAGTAATAATAAGGTATTTAAGCGAAAGTACGCTGATTCCTGCAAAGTATTTTAAATTGCATCCAAAAATAAGGTAGAATAATGTATGGATAGGATGAAGGAAATATGGATTGTTTGTGCCACGAGTTTAAATAAATATTAGTGTTAGAATCTAGGTGGTAGATCAATGATGTTCATTGTAAAAGACCTTTAAATTCACTGCCCCCTTTTTTTTTTTTTTTTTTTGAGACAGGGTCTTGCTCTGTCACATAGGCTGGAGTGCAGTGGCACAATCATGACTCACTGCAGCCTCAATTTCCCAGGCTTAAGCTAGTCTCCCACCTTAGTTTCCTGAATAGTTGGGACTAAACATATGGCCGACCATGCCCAGCTATTTTTTTTTTTTTTTGTAGAGACGGGGGTCTCACTATTTTTCCCAGGCTGGTCTTGAACTCCTGGACTCAAGCAATCCTCCTGCCTTGGCCTCCCAAATTGCTGAGATTACAGGCATGAGTCACCATACTGGCTTTCACTGCACATTTGAAATTTTCATAATAAAATGTTGAAAAATTTCTACAGGATGATTTCTAATAAATAATATAATGCAATTGAATACCAATTAAAAATTGCATTGACATGAATGGTATCAACAAAAAATTTAAAATAAACACACAAGTGAAAAAAATGAAAATAATGCATAACTTCATTGTCGATCACATTTATAAATTAAAATTAAATTGATATTTATTCTATTATGTCTTGAAAGAAGAAAATAAATTATAATACACAAGGTTTTTGAGTGTGAGGGTGTTGAGAATTATATACAATGTCCACGTGCATATAAATTTGTACAGCCTTTTAGAAATACTCCTTTTGAATATATGTCTAATAAATTTAATGACATTACCTTTGATTCAGCAATTCAAATTTTAGAAATGTATTTTCATAAAACATTGAAAGACTGGATGCAAAGATATATATCCATAAGTTTATAGTTATCAAATTGAAAGTATATAACATACATATTTAGCAAAATTATTTGATTAAATACATTTGGTATAAATAATATGATTAAAATTTTTTATTGTATTGTAAGCACTGATATAGATTTATATTTATGGACATAAAAAGATAGCCACACTTTTTTGAGTGAAAAAGGCAAGCTATGAAAAATTATGTTGAATAAATATGTGTGTGTATGTGTGTATATATTTATATATGATTGTATGCATAAAAGAATAAACGTCTGAAAATGTAGAATAAAATAAAATTTGCTATCTCTGGAAATGCTATATTGTGGTCAATGTTTACTTTCCTTTTATACATTTCCTTTTACACATTTCAGTAGTTTGAAAAGTAAAAATAAACATTTACAGATAAAAACTTGAGGAAATATTTCACATCAGATATAATGAATAATTAATATTCTTAAAGTACTGAGTTCTTACAGTTAAAAACTACCAATAGTCGCAAATTTTTAAAAACAATATTTATTTACATGACAAAATGGTAGTCTCTAGGAAACACAGAGAATAAGAAATATAGAGAATAAGTATTCCTTACCTTCCACATATTTACAACCAGTATTCAAAAATAGTTTTAAAAATATGTTTAACCACTCTAAATGTACATTAATATTCTATACACACAAATGTGAAATGATCACATCAAAGTAAAACTATTTATTGCTTTATATTTACTTACTACATATTCCAAGCCATACTAAAATGTATTTAAAATGTAATTCTAATTGCCTAAAGAAAGCATACGAGTTTGTATAAATAAAATACCATTTTCGTAAAATGAAATTCTAAGATAAATTTGAATTTTGTTTTTTTGAAAAGGATTATAAATAACATTTAGATTATATCATCATTCATGAGTTCAAAGAAGAAATGAAATCTCCTTTGAATGTCGCACCATTCTGCCCTGATTAGATCAATTTTGGACAATGACAATCGTAATTAATTACTCTTAGCCTTCAGGATGATGCACAACTCAAAATACGGAAAACTGAAATTCTATAACAAATACAACTGGCTTTACAACATCTGAACAATTTAATACATTTAAAATTACTTAAATGAAAAGTAAAAGTTAAAGTTATTGACTCAAAATTTTAATCAGCTTGACTATCCTTCTGCATCTAAACATGAATTAAACAATCTTAAAGCTAGAAATCTAACCACAGACAGATATAAGTAAAAAAGAGAAGTTTACCAGTTTACTTTTTTCTAATATCTGAGTTGAATTAGTCTCTTCCAAAGTATTTTTTTTTTGCAATTTTGAATTTACTAGTTATTTTAATGAATGAAGAAATAATAATGGGATATAATGTCTTAAGCAGGAGTGAGTAGAATATACAAAAATCTAATCTAAGAATGGGAATGAGATATTGGATATTTATTTATGAAAACTGAATAACTAATAAAAATGATCTCAGCAAATATGCTTAATTTAGATATTGTGATAATTTCTTGTGAAACTTTTGAAGTTAATGTTTTGAGGGAACTTTAAATTCTCTCTCAACCACTTGCAATTTAATTAATTAGCTATCAGGCATCAGTGATATTCAAACTTGCCTCCAGAATCTCATTTATGAGATTTCACCCTGGATCACATTTTTAGTTTGTCATAAAGGTTGGCACTCTGCACAAAATTGGCAAGGCAAAATATTTATTTTCCTCTGTATTCACTTAAAAAAAAATACTGTCACATCTGACAGAAACCATAGTAACTTCTCTCTAAAGTTATTCTTTCTCAAGTTTTTTACCCTTTGTGCTCTTGACAACTTTTCTGCAAATTTCATTGTAACAGAACCAATACAATTAATAAGATTCCTGCTGTAACTTTCCTCACGCCTTCTATTTATTTTTGTCTGTTTATTAAAATAGTACTTTTTATAAGAGTCGCCCTATGATATTACTGCTTCTTTTAATTACTTTTTGAAAAATAAATACTTTTATTTTTAAGAAGTATGTTTAATCAAACTCATCTTAAATTTATTTTGCGTACCTTCAAATATGCAGTTATCTGAGATAATTAATGTTTTAATATGGCCAAACAAAATTTGTGCTTTAAAGTCCATTATCTCAGCGAACAGAATGGAGTGAAAATAAATTATATTTAAAACCACACACATACATTATGCAGAATTTTCTCCTTTCAGAATTGATATTCACAGAAATAAAATGCCACTCTTATTGTTTAGTTGGAAAATACAATTGTTAGAAAATTACATTTCATCTTATGTGTCAATCTCTGCAGAGAAAAGCAAATTAGCTTTCCCTGGAATGTGAGAAAGCAGCAAAAGCAAAACACTCTAAAATTATAATTTCATATTCTTATATTTTTATCTTTATCTTGCTAAAGAATAAGAATATATTCCACTCTTAAAAATTCTTGATTTTGTGGAGGAAACACATTCAGCAATCTTTAGAATGATATAGATAAGTGTCACTTAATTATGAGGATACATTCTGAGAAATGTATCATTAGGCAATTTTGTTATTGTGTGAACATCACAGAGTGTACTTACAGAAACCTAAATGGGATAGCCTCCTACACACCTAGACTATATGCTATAGCCTATTGCTCCTAGGCTACAAACCTGTATGAGGTACTACTGTACAGAATACTGGAGACAACTGTATCACATGGTAAGTATTTCAATATATTTAAACAGGAAAAGGTATGGTAAAAATACAGTTTAAAAGACTTAAAATGGTACACTGTATAGGGCACTTGCCACAAATAGAATTTGCAGGACTGAAAGTTGCTCTGGGTGAGTCAGTGAGTGAGTGCTGAGTGAATGTGGAGGCCTAGGATGTTACACTATTGTATACTTCACAAACACTGTACACTTTATAAACAGTGTACACTTTATAAACACTGTACACTTAGGCTACACTACATTTACTAAAAATATATTTCATTTTTTCAATGATAAATTAACTCACCATAACATTTTAGGTTTATTTACTTTTTATTTACTCTTTGACTTTTCTGTAATAACACTTAGGTTAAAACACAAAAACATTCCACAACCGTAAAAAATATGTTCTTGCTTTATATCCCTATTATAGAAGCTTTTTCCTTTATATCCTTACTATATAAGCTTTTTATAAAAATTTTAAAAGATTTATTTTCGTTTGTAGTTTCTAAACTTTCTTGTTAAAAACTAAGATACAAACACACATATTAGTCTATGCCTACAAAGTGTCAAGATCATCAATATCACTGCCCTTCACCTCCACATTTTGTCCCACAGAAAGGTCTTCAGAGGAAATAACACACATGGAGCTGTTATCTCCTATGATAATAATGCCTTCTTCTGGAATACCTCCTGAAAGGCCTACCTGAGGCTGTTTCACAGTTAAATCTTTTTTAATAAGTAGAAAGAATACAATCTAAAATAATGATTAAAAACATAGTATAGTAAATACACAAATCAATAACATAATCTTTTATTATAAAGTAGCACATAATTATATTTGCTTATATTTTTTGTATGACTGGCAGAGCAGTAGGTTTGTTTTCACCATCATCACCACAAGCATGTGACTAATGCATTGCACTACTACATTACCATGACTACCACCACTAAGAGATAGGAATTTTCCAGCTCTATTATTATCTTATAGGACCACCTTAGTATATGTGGTCCATCCTTGACTGAAACAACTTTACCTGGTGTACAACTGTACGTATCCAAGATAGCCAAAAAAAAAAAAAATCTAATACTAACATTGTAAGAACTGTATAAAATTTAATTTTAAAATTACATGAATCTTTTAAAATAGAGAATGTACCCTTGTTACTCCTAATACTTAGCTGACTCTCCTTTTTCTAGATGAGAAAAATATCATCACAATTGCAAATCATCTTAAAAGGAGATTCTCATTCAGTATAATATAATTTCACTTACACTGAATATCACTTTTTATTTCCTTTATTGCATTATCTCACATTTGAAAGGTTTGAATTGCCACCTGGCAGTGTATTATAATATCATATTTTACATTCACTCTTTATCAGATATCTAACATGGAAATTCAAGTTCATATTTCTTTGCAGACAAAACCAATGACAAAAAGTTCTTTAAACAATCAGTTTCTCCAAAGCTATTCTAAATACATTTAATCCTCTGAATCAAATGCATAATATGAATATGTATCATGTTCATAAGCAAGTTACATAAAACTAAATTGTTATGCCACTAAAAATATATAGGCCACATATCATGTGTCTACACTTATCTTTTTGAATGCATTGTGTTTCACCTTTTGAGATATAGTTCACACACTGGTTATAAAAATATCCAGCCCAGGCTGGAATGCAATGGTGCAATTTTAGGTCATTGCAGCCTTGAACTCCTGGGCTCAAGTATCCTTTCGAATCAGCCTCCCTAGCAGTTGGGACTACAGGTGCATGCCACCACGCCTGGCTAGTTTTTTCATTTTTTTTATTTTTTGTAGAGACAGTATCTTACTAAGTTGTCCAGACTTGAAGCAAACTCAGGCCACAAGTGAACCTTTCCCCTTAGACTCCCAAAACACTGGGATTACAAATATGAGCTGCCATGCCCGGCCTATTAAACTATTCCTTATTTGTTGGTGGTTTTTCTTTTTTGGTTTCTTTGTATTGTGTTGTTCTTTTTTTCCCCCTTTTTTAACTATTCTTAACATATCAGAGTTTGTCTACTCAGATTTGCATGACCTCAAACTCATAGGGATTATTTATCTTCATTAGTCATTAATTGCTAACAATGAAATCTAAATTGGTGAGGGCAGAAAAGGATACGCAGATAAATTTTGTTCCATCATTTAGATACATTTTTATGTTTATATTTTCCTATTATGATACTTTTAGGTTTCTGGAGCTGCAGAACCTTTGTCAAAAGGTGCATTTTTTCATTGCAAATATTCTAACCTATGTGCCATAACTACAGGGGAACATCCTATATATAAAGCAAATTATTCTATTCAAATTTGACACATGTCCTCTGTCTCTGACAATATTTCAAAGTCTTCCTAACTGTACTTTATTTAAAACTTCTATAACTTTTCTAGTTTTATTAACGGATTAATTTTCACAGGATGATATGATGCTTGCAATATTCAGCTTCCTTATGATCAAAGCCAATTCTAATTCTGCTATTTACTCACAAGCATACTAATTACTTTTTAAAATATCGTGTTTATAATGATCAAAATATCTCTCTGTGTAACTGATTCTTTTTCCTAGCAAAAAGCTCATTAGTAGTCATAGGACTCAATAATGTTAATATTCCCAGGATGAATGATACAAAAGATTCATTATCTTTATGCCACACTGGAATCATTGAACTGAATCATTTTATACGATTACAATTATCTTTCAGGCAATGTACTCATATAAATTTAACTAAATGCTTAAATGGCCTGTTGACCCAAAGGGCACTATTAGTTTTGGCTTGATAATTTAATAAATTAATGCCCAGGAAATAATACATACTTTTTATTCCACACTTTTCTCTTTTATTTTTTGAATCAAATAACCGTGTGGGTATAATTAGAATATTGAAAAAAAAAAAGCTTCCTTTCTTCTTGGCTACCCTTCCTTGGTATATGCATGTCTTCTTCACTGATTATGATGAAGAACTGAGAGAATTCAACCTACATAAGTTCATTTTCTGTATAATTGCAATTTAAAACTTTAAGCAGCATGCTTCCAACCAGTTTTGGTGAAACTCTAAGAACATAAATAAATTATTTGAAAAGTCAGTATAAAGTATACCTTCAGTATGAATATAATATGGGTATATAAGAAAGACTATTTCTTGTTTTCTCATGAAATCCTAATTTTCTTAGTTTTATGTTTAGTTTTCTTTTTATAGATAAATTCCTTAAAGCCCTAAGTCATGACAAGCAGAAAAAGACTGAAAAGATTTCGAATTAAAATTATTTTATTGTAAAAATTATATTGATTGATCAGAGACAGTTAAATATTATATTTACAAATTCCAATCTGTTTAAATGTCCTATTAGTACACATAAAGTTGTAATAGTATGGCATTTGCGATTTATCGCAAGATTTCTATACCTTTACAGTACAGTTCTCTGACATTGGCTGCACACAGCAATTTCCCATAGAGCTTTAAAAAATACTAATAAAAGGGCCTCAAACCCACTACTTCTGGCTTAATTGGCCTAGGATGTTGCCTCATCATCAGGATCGTTAAAAGATCCCCAAGAAGTTCTATTCTTGAGCCAAGCTTAGGAAACATTGCTCAAAAGGTATATCAACAGAAGAATAAAGTCTAAAGTGCAAAGTAGACATTTGCTTTAAACTTGTCACATTTCTCAAAATTTATCTAGTAATATAGAAAACATTATTTGCATATATAAGCCATTTAAAATGGCCCTAACAATACTTATTATCTTAACAATTTCACTAGCAAAGTCCAAAAGAACACTCATAATGGTATAAAAATATATTAAATTATTTAGACATAGCCAGCATTTTAGACAGCTAACAGGATGTTAAAACAATTAATATAACGGTGCTTGGATTGGCATGTGTCTTTGAATGTAAACCCTGTATATATATGTATATATATGATATATATGTGTATATGTATATATCATATATATTTATTATGTATGACATATAATCCTGGGTATTACTATTTTAATCAAAAGATAATTCAGAGCTCATGAAATATGATGAATTGAACTTCCTTGATACTGATTCGGATTGTTGTTTGGTCCATCTATCTGATTACTGCTTAAAGAAAAACACAGGTACTAAATTTACCATGAACTGATTAAATTAGGTGATACTAAATTTATTATGCACTGACTAAACTAATTCTTGCAAGCTATAAACTAAATTGTATTTATTAACTGCATTATGGAATAGAAATATTCTCATGAACAAATTCCTAACCCTCTGGAAAAATAATACTTTATTTTAAATATTTCTATTGCTGAGTTAACTAAGCAACAACTAAACATTCTACAATATGAAATGTTAATATCATTTAATTAAAATACATTGTGGATATTGGTATTACATAATCACTCATTCTACAGTATTAATCATAGAAGTTTTCTTTTCATATATTTTATAGAATGTTATTAATCTTTATTCTGGTATGTTATTTATTATAACTTAAAAAAGCAAGTGATTAAATTTAAATTAAGATAGTTTATATTAGTTGATTGGGAAAAAATAGAATTGCTCATCATATTTTCCCTCCTTTTAAGTATTTTGTTTTTTTTACTTATTTTACTTTTTCTGGTTAGAATTTCATCAATTTTATCAAAAATATGAAGGCTGTTTAGGTATGAATTTTTCTTGAGCATTACTGTGTAAACAAGATAAATATATAAAGAAAATAACAATCTTAAAACTTAAATTAACTTTTTTCTAACCACCCCAGAAGTCTCTGTAAATGAAACAGCTACAGAGGCATCTCAGTTTATAGATGGTTTTTGCTTCAACTATTTCCATTGCACAGATATACACGTCTGTCTTATAACTTTAATTTTCTTGTCTTTCTTATGAATATAACAGTACATGCAAAATCACATTATTTAGTGTTGGAGAAATCAATATATTAAATTAGAGGTGTCTGGAATACAATAGATGTTCAGAATATTGGTATATTTGTTGACTAAATTAATTTTATTATTTAATACGGTGGTGACTTCTCCATGGATAAGGTGAGAGACCTAGTTGAATCCTTTCTATGAATATTCTTCAAGCAATCTTGTCAATAATTCACTGTTCATCATAGTAATTATGAACATAAAAAGGAAAAACATCTGCAGTGTGGGAAATCTGAATTTGAAGTATAATTTTCAGTCTGGTACACTGGGTAAGATCATTTTTAAGTGGAAAAGAAAGAAAGAAATGGACCCTGAAATATTCTGTGTGTGAGCATTAGCAGCAATTCAAATACATGATCTGATTGCCAGCCAAACAGAATTTATTTAAATATGTACACAAGTAAATGGGTTTACATGATTTAGGGTAGTTTTTACAGGTACTAAAAGTTAGCAGATAACTTTGTCTTGAATGTAAGCCATGTGTACAACAGAATGTAAGGATCCAGGCAATTCGTTTAACTGAGTATTGACTTTTTTCAATTATGATGAATTATGATAAAGTGATTAAAAACACACTACCTCGGTCTTCACATAATATATGTTTTCATTTGTAATATGATTTCCTACTTTGATAACTTCAAACCTAATTTTTTTATGTTTTTCATATGGATGGTTTATGGTTATTAGGTAAAAATATTTATTTAGATTATGAAATAAAAGAGCCTAAATTAATAAAGTTGGAAACTTTTGCATACTTTTCTTAAACAACTGAAAAAGAAGCAATTTAGTTACTACAGGCAACATGGTGTCCATGATTAGTACAAAATTTAATTATTCACAAAGTGCCAGGCACATGGGATATACAATACGACGTGTCTTTAAATTTCACTTATTTCATTTTCCATTATCTTTAGGTTTATATTATTTCACAGATAATAACTACACATTTCATAACTAAATCTGAAATCTATACAAATGCACATTATGAGTGTTTTTGGAGATATGGACCCCCAAACAGATGGTGAGATGCTGAAAATTTAGACTACCATATAAAAATTACTCTTGCTACACTGTACTTCACCAAAATACACAGGACTAGTTAACAATTACACCCTAATTAAAGAATCTTGTTGTCTGGGGTCAAAGCTTTAATTCATTTAATGTCCGTATATTTGGTAAAAATGGTAATATGTATGGATATCTCCAGAAAAGTTCACCACCTAGCAATATCTATGCCTGTGAAAGGATCCAGAATATGTTGCATTAAAAAATTATATATATGTTGGATGTAGTCCAATGAATGTCATGACTCAGAAGAAAGTACAATAAACCATGTTCCCCATAGATGACCAGTTGTCTCCACAAAATGTACATTTGTTATAAAATGCATAAGAATGAACTAGGTGTACTTAAAATGGATCTACATAGGTTTAATCTACTTGGCAAGAAAAACATTTATATTATTAGATAGAGAAAGTGGTTGCATCAATTACAGCAAATAAATGACAGTATTTGTTTTTTATTTGTCATTATTCTTAAATCCTCTAGAGGCAAAATGGTTAATGAAATACTTCTCAGCCTGCATTTATATGCCAGCCTTTTAAATAAAATCTGTAAATATTCAAATACAATCTATGCATATTCTGTAGTAATCTTTAAAGATTATCAATAAAGTTATAGACATAAACACATACATGCATGTTTGTGTGTGCATGTATACACACTACAAAGGCTAGTCCTTGCAAAAGATGAGAGGTATGTTCTCATTGTTCATTATCTATTCAAAACCACTAGCTTACTGCTACACTGTGCAGAATCAAACAAAACTTTCTAGAACATACCAAAAGGCGAAATTCAATCATCGTGTTTGCTATTTCAAAAATCTGAAAAATGTTGCTTAGTAACTTGTCTGCAAGTAGGTTAATTGAATTCGAATAATTATTTTAAAATACTTTGCAAATTACTTTGTCCTTTCATTTTTAATTTTACATCTACATTACTATTGATCAATACCTTGCTTGAGACAAAGTTTAGGGTACTTTGCAGTTTTCATCTTTTGAACAAGACTGGCAAGTAGTGGGTATTAAATGAGCATTGGCCAATTTAAATGAATACTCTGAGGAAAATAATTCATCCCAGTTATCCGAATATTCAAAACCGAGTTCATTTTATTTATTTATATATATATATATGTGTGTGTATATATAAATATATATATTTAGTACATATATATGTACTCTATATATTATCTATGTAGACACAAAGCTAAATGATGTTTACTGTGCCACATTTTTACTGTCTTTTGGATAATATGATTTTTAATTTTTTAAATATTATGTTTTCTTGAGACCAGATATATATATTTGATTTTTAAAGTATGTTTTCCCCCAGGGCATCTACACGAATACTTCTCAGATATGGTTACTTAGCAAAAAAAGTTCTCAGCCAGGTGCGGTGGCTCACGCCTGTAATCCCAGCACTTTGGGAGGCCAAGGCGGGCAGATCATGAGGTCAGGAGATCAAAGTCAACCTGGCTAACACGGTGAAACCCTGTCTCTACTAAAAATACAAAAAATTAGCCGGTCGTGGTGGCGGGCGCCTGCAGTCCCAGCTACTTGGGAGGCTGAGGCGAGAGAATGGCGTGAGGCCAGGAGGCGGAGCATGCAGTGAGCTGAGATCGCACCACTGCACTCCAGCCTGGGCGAGAGAGCGAGACTCCATCTCAAAAAAGAAAAAAAAAAGAAAGAAAAAAAAATTATCAAATAGTATGAACACAAATTAATTTGATGTGAACTTCTTGACACAAAATTGTATCAAGAGTTAGAAGAACATGTTAATGCATTAGCATCAAGCATTAAACATTTACTCTTACAGTTTTTCAGTTTTAAGTAATTAATTTTATTAAATTATATATTTTAGTATAATGGAAGGCTGATATCCAATTTTTAAAGCCAGCTTTTATTCCACATGTTTTACTCATTTATTCTGATGTAATGACATTTTTCTAGTGTTAATAGTCATATAAAATGTTTCTGCTCTGTGAGTTTCTTCACTAATTCTTGTGTTTAAGTTTTCTGAGTTTGTTTTAATTCACTCAAAATTATTTGTTCACTCTCTAGAAATTCATTACTCTTGCAAATAATCAAATCACTGTTTAAGACAATTAATGTGTTAATCAACCTTGTTTGCTTCAAACAACAAACCCACAAGTTAGACCAATTTTAAGACTAATTTTATTGAACCAGAGAATTTAATATGGCATTATTTTCCTATATGTTTTAAGAAGTAAATCTTTAGGCCGGGCGCAGTGGATCACACCTGTAATCCTAGCACTTTGGGAGGCCGAGGTGGGTGGATCACGAGGTCAAGAGATTGAGACCATCCTGGCCAAAATGGTGAAACCCCGTGTCTACTAAAAATACAAAAATTTGCTGGGTGTGGTGGCACGTGCCTGTACTCCTAGCTACTCGGAAGGCTGAGGCAGGAGAATAGCTTGAACCCGGGAGGTCAAGGTTGCAGTGAGCCGAGATAACGCCACTGCACTCCAGCCTGGTGACAGAGTGACACTCTGTCTAAAAAAACAAAAAAAAAAAGTAAGCCTTTATTTTCTAATAAAACGAAGAAAAAATAAATACGTATATATCTTAGTTCAATATTTTTAATTCAATTGGTGACTGATCACTATGACTAACTAATACATTGAAGCTTTTAAAAATGTTATTATTTCCCTGGCTTATTTATACGAATTAAGTATTGAATATGTGTATAAACATTAAAACAAATAAAAATTAAACATCATATGCAGTTACAACAAATGATTTCTAACATTAGGACATGGATTTTTATGGAAAGGGAGAAATATTTTTTATACTTTCTTTGATCTTCAGTTCAGGTGATTTTAAATAATTTAATGTGCTTGTTTCTGCAGATATTCATTAAACATCAAGAGTGTTAGAAACCTATGTATAACTAAGAAATGTTGACCTGGAGAAAAAAAATATTGTTTCACCTCTTATCTATATTTGATATTAATTCAGCAGGTTGACAATATAACAAGAGCCTGTGAACGAAGCTATTGATTTACTTATGAGGGACTTAAAATATCTAGTTTACTAGTGACAGTCAGAATGCAAATTAATAGAGAAAAAGAAACTCACTTGTTACGACTTCAAAAACTATTCTATCATTCTATCACATATCTATTGGTAAATGTTTAATGATACCTGAATTAAAATTACATAAAATTAGCAAGGTATATTGATAAATGTTTAATGAGACCTGAATTAAAATTATATAAAATTAGCAAAATAAGTTCATATGGTATTATTTATAATATATTTTTTAAATTTATTATTATTATACTTTAAGTTTTAGGGTACATGTGCACAATGTGCAGGTTAGTTACATATGTATACATGTGCCATGCTGGTGCGCTGCACCCACTAACTCGTCATCTAGCATTAGGTATATCTCCCAATGCTATCCCTCCCCCCTCCCCCCACCCCACCACAATCCCCAGAGTGTGATGTTCCCCTTCCTGTGTCCATGTGTTCTCATTGTTCAATTTCCACCAATGAGTGAGAATATGTGGTGTTTGGTTTTTTGCACTTGCAATAGTTTGCTGAGAATGATGATTTCCAGCTTCATCCATGTCCCTACAAAGGACATGAACTCATCATTTTTGATGGCTGCATAGTATTCCATGGTGTATATGTGCCACATTTTCTTAATCCAGTCTATCATTGTTGGACATTTGGGTTGGTTCCAAGTCTTTGCTATTGTGAATAATGCTGCAATAAACATACATGTGCATGTGTGTTTATAGCAGCATGATTTATAGTCCTTTGGGTATATACCCAGTAATGGGATGGCTGGGTCAAATGGTATTTCTAGTTCTAGATCCCTGAGGAATTGCCACACTGACTTCCACAATGGTTGAACTAGTTTACAGTCCCACCAACAGTGTAAAAGTGTTCCTATTTCTCCATATCCTCTCCAGCACCTGTTGTTTCCTGAATTTTTAATGATCGCCATTCTAACTGGTGTGAGATGGTATCACATTGTGGTTTTGGTTTGCATTTCTCTGACGGCCAGTGATGGTGAGCATTTTTTCATGTGTTTTTCGGCTGCATGAATGTCTTCTTTTGAGAAGTGTCTGTTCATGTCCTTCGCCCACTTTTCGATGGGGCTGTTTGTTTTTTTCTTGTATATTTGTTTGAGTTCATTGTAGATTCTGGATATTAGCCCTTTGTCAGATGAGTAGGTTGCAAAAATTTTTTCCTATTTTGTAGGTTGCTTGTTCACTCTGATGGTAGTTTCTTTTGCTGTGCAGAAGCTCTTTAGTTTAATTAGATCCCATTTGTCAATTTTGGCTTTTGTTGCCATTGCTTTTGGTGTTTTACATATGAAGTCCTTGCCCATGCCTATGTCCTGAATGGTAATGCCTAGGTTTTCTTCTAGGGTTTTTACGGTTTTAGGTCTAATGTATAAGTCTTTAATCCATCTTGAATTGATTTTTATATAAGGTGTAAGGAAGGGATCCAGTTTCAGCTTTCTACATATGGCTAGCCAGTTTCCCAGCACCATTTATTAAATAGGGAATCCTTTCCCCATTGCTTGTTTTTCTCAGGTTTGTCAAAGATCAGACAGTTGTAGATATGCGGCATTATTTCTGAGGGCTCTGTTCTGTTCCATTGATCTATATCTCTGTTTTGGTACCAGTACCATGCTGTTTTGGTTACTGTAGTCTTGTAGTATAGTTTGAAGTCAGGTAGTGTGATGCCTCCAGCTTTTTTCTTTTGGCTTCAGATTGACTTGGCGATGCGGGCTCTTTTTTGGTTCCATATGAACTTTAAAGTAGTTTTTTCCAATGCTGTGAAGAAAGGCATTGGTAGATTGATTGGGATGGCATTGAATCTGCAAATTACCTTGGGCAGTATGGCCATTTTCACGATATTGATTCTTCCTACCCATGAGCATGGAATGTTCTTCCATTTGTTTGTATCCTCTTTTATTTCATTGAGCAGTGGTTTGTAGTTCTCCTTGAAGAGGTCCTTCACGTCCCTTGTAAGTTGGATTCCTAGGTATTTTATTCTCTTTGAAGCAATTATGAATGGGAGTTCACTCATGATTTGCCTCTCTGTTTGTCTGTTATTGGTGTATAAGAATGCTTGTGATTTTTGTACATTGATCTTGTATCCTGAGACTTTGCTGAAGTTGTTTATCAGCTTTAGGAGATTTTGGGCTGAGACAATGGGGTTTTCCAGATATACAATCATGTCATCTGCAAACAGGGACAATTTGACTTCCTCTTTTCCTAATTGAATACCCTTTATTTCCTTCCACTGCCTAATTGCCCTGGCCAGAACTTCCAACACTATGTTGAATAGGAGTGGTGAGAGAGGGCATCCCTGTCTTGTGCCCGTTTTCAAAGGGAATGCTTCCAGTTTTTGCCCATTCAGTATGATATTGGCTGTGGGTTTGTCATAGATAGCTCTTATTATTTTGAGATACGTCCCATCAATACCTAATTTATTGAGAGTTTTTAGCATGAAGGGTTGTTGAATTTTGTCAAAGGCCTTTTCTGCATCTATTGAGATAATCATGCGGTTTTTGTCTTTGGTTCTGTTTATATGCTGGATTACATTTATTGATTTGCGTATGTTGAACCAGCCTTGCATCCCAGGGATGAAGCCCACTTGATCATGGTGGATAAGCTTTTTGATGTGCTGCTGGATTCGGTTTGCCAGTATTTTATTGAGGATTTTTGCATCAATGTTCATCAAGGATATTGGTCTAAAATTCTCTTTTTATGTTGTGTCTCTGCCAGGCTTTGGTATCAGGATGATGCTGGCCTCATAAAATGAGTTAGAGAGGATTCCCTCTTTTTCTATTGATTGGAATAGTTTCAGAAGGAATGGTACCAGCTCCTCCTTGTACCTCTGGTAGAATTCGGCTGTGAATCCATCTGGCCCTGGACTCTTTTTGGTTGGTAAGCTATTGATCATTGCCGCAATTTCAGATCCTGTTATTGGTCTATTCAGAGATTCAGCTTCTTCCTGGTTTAGTCTTGGGAGGGTGTATGTGTCGAGGAATTCATCCATTTCTTCTAGATTTTCTAGTTTATTTGCGTAGAGGTGTTTGTAGTATTCTCTGATGGTAGTTTGTATTTGTGTGGGATCGGTGGTGATATCCCGTTTATCATTTTTTATTGTGTCTATTTGATTCTTCTCTTTTTTTCTTTATTAGTCTTGCTAGCAGTCTCTCAATTTTGTTGATCGTTTCAAAAAACCAGCTCCTGGATTCGTTAATTTTTTGAAGGGTTTTTTGTGTCTCTATTTCCTTCAGTTCTGCTCTGATTTTAGTTATTTCTTGCCTTCTGCTAGCTTTTGAATGTGTTTGCTCTTGCTTTTCTAGTTCTTTTAATTGTGATGTTAGGGTGTCAATTTTGGATCTTTCCTGCTTTCTCTTGTGGGCATTTAGTGCTATAAATTTCCCTCTACACACTGCTTTGAATGCGTCCCAGAGATTCTGGCATGTTGTGTCTTTGTTCTCATTGGTTTCAAAGAACATCTTTATTTCTGCCTTCATTTTGTTATGTACCCAGTAGTCATTCAGGATCAGGTTGTTCAGTTTCCATGTAGTTGAGCAGTTTTGAGTGAGTTTCTTAATCCGGAGTTCTAGTTTGATAGCACTGTGGTCTGAGAGACAGTTTGTTATCATTTCTGTTCTTTTACATTTGCTGAGGACAGCTTTACTTCCAACTATGTGGTCAATTTTGGAATAGGTGTGGTGTGGTGCTGAAAAAAATGTATATTCTGTTGATTTGAGGTGGAGAGTTTTGTAGATATCTATTAGGTCTGCTTGGTGCAGAGCTGAGTTCAATTCCTGGGTATCCATGTTGACTTTCTGTCTCGTTGATCTGTCTAATGTTGACAGTGGGGTGTTAAAGTCTCCCACTATTAATGTGTGGGAGTCTAAGTCTCTTTGTAGGTCGCTCAGGACTTGCTTTATGAAACTTGGTGCTCCTGTATTGGGTCCATATATATTTAGGACAGTTAGCTCTTCTTGTTGAATTGATCCCTTTACCATTATGTAATGGCCTTCTTTGTCTCTTTTGATCTTTGTTGGTTTAAAGTCTGTTTTAGCAGAGACTAGGATTGCAACCCCTGCCTTTTTTTGTTTTCCATTGGCTTGGTAGATCTTCCTCCATCCTTTTATTTTGAGCCTATGTGTGTCTCTGCACGTGAGATGGGTTTCCTGAATACAGCACACTGATGGGTCTTGACTCTTTATCCAATTTGCCAGTCTGTGTCTTTTAATTGGACCATTTAGTCCATTTACATTTAAAGTTAATATTGTTATGTGTGAATTTGATCCTGTCATTATGATGTTAGCTGGTTATTTTGCTTGTTAGTTAATGCAGTTTCTTCCTAGTCTCGATGGTCTTTACATTTTGGCATGATTTTGCAGCGGCTGGTATTGGTTGTTCCTTTCCATGTTTAGCACTTCCTTCAGGAGCTCTTTTAGGGCAGGCCTGGTGGTAACAAAATCTCTCAGCATTTGCTTGTCTGTAAAGTATAATTTTTATTTTTAAATGTTTCCTTGATGTGTCTCTTTTACTGAGTTCTAATATGATGAATCACCAAATACAGATAATCATAGCATTCAATGAAGAGAAGTTAAGTGAGTTAATTAACAGGTGTTTATAAAGCTGTGGTGTTATGCTTTCACTAATCTTTCCTTGTGGCAAATATTGTGGCACATTATAGAAAAAATAATAAAACTAAACAAAACTAAAAATAAGCAGTTCCCAAGTCTCCAAGCACAAGACAGAGATGTCTATAAATTTAACTGAACAACTTTTCCAGTTTATGTCAGCAATAAAGGGATATCTAAATGGAGACCAGAATGAGACAGAATCGTTTGTCCTTCTCAGCTGATTCTCTCTGGGGCTCACTCTTCTCCCCAGTTGGTTAATCCATTGTTTTCTTCACACAGGTTAGACACAGAGGAGAACCTTTGGAGATGAGAAATTTGAACTTTATATTTTTCTTCTTTATTTCTACAGGCTACACTGAAAACAGTTGCTCTGTATCAGGTTAGCCATAAGTTAGAGCACCAACTTAAATTACCTTGAAATACATCAACTTTTTATAAATTTTCTGATTTAGAGATTTCAAAATTACTTCTGCTATTAATCAAATTTTCCTTAGACATGTTTTCCATTATTATTGTAATATTATCATTATTAAAATAATAGTAGTAGCTACATTCTTTTACACATTATTCAATTATGGTAAGTAATTTGCATATTTTTTCTTATTTAAGATCTATACAACAGTTTTATGGGATGGTGGTGTTAAAATTATTTTTCCTTGGAATAATAAGAATAAATATTTGGGATACCTGGTTTGGATTACTGCATTGGAGAAAAACGTACTTCAAAGCAGACTATCATTGTTAAGATTGTTGCATTTCTTGAGTTAATCAAGAGTAAGACCACATTTTTAATGAATATCTCTTACTATATAGGAATAATCTTTCTTTTTTTTTTTTTTCTGGTTTTGAAACAGTATCTCTCTGTCACCCAGGCAGGAGTACAGTGGGGCAGCTACAGCTCATTGCAGCTTCAACCTCTCGGGTCCGGTGGTCCTCCCAACATCACCCTCCCAAGTAGCTGGAACTATAAGCATGCACAACACCACCCGACTAATTTTCAAATTATTCGTACAGCTGAGATCTGTCTATGTTGCCCAGGCTGGTCTCAAAATCCTGGGCTCATGTGATTCTCCCACTTCAGACTCCCAAAGTACTGAGATTGTAGGCCTGGGCCTCCAAGCTTGGTGATTCTCCTTTTTAATACCTTAATTTGAGATATGGCCAGGCAAACAGTAGACCTTACTTCTAATTACAGAATTGGGAGGAAAGAAAGAGTCTGAGCTCTGGGCACACAAGCTGATGCAGTTGATGGACAATGTCCTGCTGGATAACCTCCAAAGACTTGGTTGTAATTTTCTCAATCTCCATTTTTCATAGGAACCTAGTAGAAAGCAGGGGACAGCGAAGTCATCATCCAGGAGGAACTAACATGAAAAACATTTTGCATATATATTATTATTTTAAAATCATTTGCCTTAATTTTTAAACTGCTTATATAAAATGAATGTTTATCCCTTGAAATGAACTACATTAAAATTTAATGCAGATATTTCAGGTGGCTTCAGCTCAAAATAATTTGGGTAATTTTTAACAGTTGTTTATAATAAGTAAATTTATCTTTAAAGGACAGCTGAGATAAATAATTTTTATGAATTTACACTTACAAATTTTTAGTATAGTGTTGTGCCTAGGGGAAAGTTTAATACATAATAGGTATTCAGTAAAAACTTTTTGAAAAAAAAATTGAAGCGATAAAAGGTTAGCCTGGATTTGCCATTTAATCAGTTCAGTTCAGAGTCTTGAGTATGTACATATGAATCATTGTTAAATAAACATGGAATTATTTTGTGAATTAAAACTAATGTATGTACATTTCTTAGATGATGTCTAACATGCAGTAGACGTCCAGTGAGTCACAAATGGTGCATAGTGTTTACTTTTGGAATAAAGTGAGACAGAAGACAATTGGTATTTTCTCTGTCTCTCTTGTATAACCTAGCATAACTCACCTTTCTTGAACATAGGCTCATGTTGAGTGGGAAGCAAGGGAGTAATCACATGGAAGAATGTTCTGCTTTCAGGAATTAATGCATCCTATTCCTAAATAATTAACTACAGGTAAGTATATGATAGATGGATGGATAGATAGATAGGCAGACAGGCAGATATTCTCAAACAGCAATTAAAGTAAACATTACAACTTAATTCAATATCTCATATTACAGTTCAAGAATCTGAGAAAATATTTTCTAAAATAATGATATTAGGCATAGAAGAGACACACTTAGTGGCTATATAGAAATCTCAAACTTATACAAAAGCAATAAAAGTTCCCCTGATAGATATCAGTATGGGAATGTTATGTTTACATTAAACCCTGTATTTTAAAATGACTTAGTATTGGGGTTGGCAGTTTTGCCCCCTTAATCTTCAATCCCTTGATATTGCACCTATGAATATGTCAGCTTACATGCTAAAAGAAACTTTGCAGAGGTGATGAAGGGTATGATGAGGAGACTATCCTGGATTAGACAGTTTCAGTCTAATCACTCTAGTCCTTAAAGGAGGAGAGCCTTTTTTCAGCTGAATTCAGAAAGATGCTGTGATGGTTAATATTGAGTGTCAGCTTGATTGGATCGAAGGATGCAAAGTATTGTTCCTGGGTGTGTTTGTGAGGGTGTTGCCAAAGGAGATTAACATTTGAGTTAGTGTGCATAGGGAGAGGCAGACCCACCCTCAATCTGGGTGGGCATCATCTATCAGCTGCCAGAGCAGCTAGAATAAAGCAGGCAGGAGAAGGTGGAAGAGCAGACCCGCTGAGTCTTCCTGCCTTCATTTTTCTTCTGTGCTGGATGGTTCCTGCTCTTGAACACCGAACTGCAAGTTCTTCAGCTTTGGACCTTTTGGACTTACACTACTGTATGTCAGGGGCTCTTGGGCCTTTGGCCAGAGACTAAAGATTGCACTGTTGGCTTCCCTACTTTTCAGATTTTGGGACTTGGACTGGCTTCCTTGCTCCTCAGCTTTCAGACGGCCTACTGTGGGACGTCACCTTGTGATCGTGTGAGTCAATTCTCCTTAATAAACTCCCCTTTATATACACATCTATCCTATTAATGTTGTTCCTCTAGTGAGCCCTGAATAATACAGATGCTCTGGAAAAGGGAGGGAGGGGAGAAATTCAAAGCCTGAGAAAATTTCAACCTAGAGGAAGGGGGCTGTTATACAGGGAAAGTGGGCTGCCTCTAGAGGCTGAGAAGACCTCAAGCCAATTGTCAGAAGGAAAACAGGGACCTCAATCTCAAAATCAAAATGCACTGAATTCTGCCAGCAATCTGAGCGAGCAAGGAAACAGATTATCTTATATTCCCCGAAAAGCCATGGTACTCTGTCAACATTTCGACTTCTTCCTGGGGAGACTTGGAGCAGAGAAACTAGCTGAAATCACCAAATTCTGACCTCTTGAAACTGTGAGATAATCTATTTGTGTTGTTTTATTTCACTAAGGTTGTGGCAATTTGTTATAGCAACAGAAAACTAATGCAGGCATAATGGAGGATTCAGATAATTACAAATTTATCCAGCTTTCATTTGCTTACTTTTAAATCTTTCCAATATGAACAACAAAAACATGTTAATTTTGTGACTTGCCTCAGTTAACAAAAGGAAAGTTCTGGTGTGAAAATGTCAATATAATACCGCATATTTTAGGCAAAGAGAGGTTGTGAAATAGTCTCATATAATTATAACATACATGTTTTCTATTTTTATGTTTACTGAATAAATGAAATTTAACGAGTTTGAGTTAAGTTTCTGAAAATTAAACACAATTGCTTATATGCAAATTGAAAACTTGCATCAAACTATTTTGTTTTGTTTTATATTTGAAATTACAGTGACAATGATTTCCATTTAGCTCTAAAGCCATTAAGCAAGGCAAATTTCTCAAGAAAAGGTTCTTAATGTAGTCCCTGAAGTTAAATGTAACAATTGTCTATCTAAAATTGCTCTTGGAATTCTACATCGCAATAATCATTTGCAAATGTAATATTTTTCAGTTACCAAAACTATTTTATCTTTACTGAACTTTCCTGTGGATGTTCTGAAATTATTCCTTCCCTTCCTTTAATTGCAGATTTTTCAAATGTAGCTTCCAGATAGCAGCTTCCAGGTAGCAATCATGATCTAAATCACTGAAGCCTGTGTAGTGATGTGTATAGTCTCTTAGTCCCTAAGAGGTTCCACAAATATCATCTCCTATACACGTTTTGAACCTCCTAGACGATGATACAAAGCACTTATAGTCAGACTATTCAGTCCTGGGAGATTTTTGAGGTCTAAAATCTCACAGTGATTATTTGGTTCTTGTATTTGTAGTTCATCAAGTCACACAGTTCATCAAATTCATTTCTGGCTCAGACCTTGCCATATTTAGGGGCTAAAACAGAGCCACTACCTAGAGTTTGCTTGAATTCTAAGGCCAAGATCATAGTCTTTGTTTTCTTGTTGTTGTTGTTATCTTCTATATGCATTTAGTAATCTCATATCACTGGGAAGTCTGGAATGTCCAAAAGCCTAGATGATGTACTGTGGAACTCACATGATCCCTCTGATAAGGGTGAGAGTCTATACAGGGATAGATACAATGAATAAACTAAACCTTAATCCACTCCCTGTATAATTGAATCTGTTTTAAACAAACCCTAATTTTTTAATTAAAGCTCCTCTGATCATTGAAATCAATTGTATTTGTTTACCTAAAACAAGCCATGGACCCGAATAAGGAGTAGATTAGAATACAGACCAGGAATGGAGTAAAGAGGTCAAAAGTGAGGAATGACTAATTTGCAAAATAACAAATTCAAAGATAGTAACAAATATCCCAGCCTCAAAGTTGTAATTAATAATGATAATAATAGTAATAATAGATATATATTGACTATGTGTGTGCTCGGCAGTGTTTTATGTATTGTATGGACTCATAAGAACAGAGAGCCCCTGGCTCAATGGAAATGGGCATATTATGTAAAAAAAACACACACACACACACACAAAAAACTGTCTTGTTAAAAACCAATATATTTCAGGTTTTCTTTTCTTTCTTTCTTTCCTTCTTTCAGCCTGCCTTTCTTTCTCTCTCTGCCCTTTCTTTCTTTCTCTTTCTTTCTCTCTTTCTTTCATCTCTTTCCTTTCCCAGTTTATCTTCATATAAATATTGATTACCTGAAATTGGTGCTACTGTAACAATGACAATAAAATGCACAGTATTTACTTTAAGTCTGGGCAGTAAACAGCAAGGGAACTCTTACTGGAGGCTGTAAGAAAGGCAATTTGTATTACGCAAGAGTGAAACATAAAACTGTCACTTGTGATACCATGAAAGAGAGAAAATATCCCAGTGAACTTGTAGCTTTAGGTCAAAAGTTGAACAAGTTTAACAAAGAGAATTTGTGATGGTTGCATTTGTAATGGTACTGAGAGGTGACAGCGTGCTGGCAGTCCTCACATCCCTCGCTCGCTCTCGGTGCCTCCTCTGCCTGGGCTCCCACTTTGGCGACACTTGAGGAGCCCTTCGGCCGCCGCTGCACTGTGGGAGCCCCTTTCTGGGCTGGCCAAGGCTGGAGCCCACTCCCTCAGCTTGCAGGGAGGTGTGGAGGGAGAGGTGCGAGCAGGAACCGGGGCTGCCTGCCGCGCTTGCGGGCCAGCTGGAGTTCCGGGTCAGCTGGAGTTCCGGGTGGGCGTGGTCTTGGCGGCCCCACACTCGGAACAGCTGGCCAGCCCTGCTGGCACCAGGCAATGAGGGACTTAGCACCCGGGCCAGTGGCTGCGGAGAGTGAACTGGGTCCCCCAGCAGTGCCAGCCCACCGATGCTGCGCTCGATTTCTCACCGAGCCTTAGCTGCCTTCCCGCGGGGTAGGGCTCGGGACCTGCAGCCCGCCATGCCTGAGCCTCCCACCCACTCCATGGGCTCCTGTGCGCCCGAGCCTCCCCAGCGAGCACCACCCCCTGCTCTACGGCGCCCAGTCCCATCGACCACCCAAGGGCTGAGGAATGCGAGCGCACGGCGCAGGACTGGCAGGCAGCTCCACCTGCAGCCCCGGTGCGGGATCCACTAGGTGAAGCCAGCTGGGCTCCTGAGTCTGGTGGGGAGGTGGAGAGTCTTTATATCTAGCTCAGGGATTGTAAACACACCAATCAGCACCGTGTGTCTAGCTCAAGGTTTGTGAGTGCACCAGTGGACACTCTGTATCTAGCTGCTCTGGTGGGGCCTTGGAGAACCTTTATGTCTAGCTCAGGGATTGTAAATACACCAATCAGCACCCTGTGTTTAGCTCAAGGTTTGTGAGTGCACCAATCGACACTCCGTATCTAGCTGCTCTGGTGGGGCCTTGGAGAACCTGTGTGTGGAAACTCTGTATCTAACTAATCTAATGGGGATGTGAAGAACCTTTGTATCTAGCTCAGGGATTGTAAACGCACCAATCAGCACCCTGACAAAAGAGGCCACTCGGCTCCACCAATCAGCAGGATGTGGGTGGGGCCAGATAAGAGAATAAAAGCAGGCTGCCCAAGCCAGCAATGGCAACCCCCTGGGGTCCCCTTCCACAGTGTGGAAGCTTTGTTCTTTCGCTCTTTGCAATAAATCTTGCTACTGCACACTCTTTGGGTCCACGCTGCTTTTATGAGCTGTCACACTCACCGCGAAGATCTGCAGCTTCACTCCTGATCCCAGCAAGACCAGGAGCCCACCGGGAGGAACGAACAACTCCAGACGCGCTACCTTAAGAGCTGTAACACTCACCGCGAAGGTCTGCAGCTTCACTCCTGAGCCAGCAAGACCACGAACCCACCAGAAGGAAGAAACTCCGAACACATCTGAACATCAGAAGGGACAGACTCCAGACGCGCCACCTTAAGAGCTGTAACACTCACCGCGAGGGTCCGCGGCTTCATTCTTGAAGTCAGTGAGACCAAGAACCCACCAATTCCAGACACAGTACTATAGGAAAGAGATGAGCTTGGAAAATAATTCAATGGTTTTCATGCAAAAATATGATGGCATTGTTTAGAATTTTAGGGGTGTGTAGGGTTGAAACACATTTTTAACCACAACCATTAAAAAGCAAAATTGAGAAATGATTTGATCAGCAAAGGTCAATCAAAACTCAGATTCACAGTAAAGTCAAGTGTATGACTATCACACTCACTGTTAAAACTATACAGTAGTTTAAGATGATGCTCAGTCAATCCTTTCAGTTCAACAAATAGTGCAAGGAAATGAGACTGAAGGTAAGCCTGTTCTACAGATTCCTGGCAGGATCAAGGTACCCAAAATTAAATCTAAAGGGAGAGTCATATCATTAAAAGAATAGTATGTTTTATAACCAGAAGTTATGACACACACACAAAAGACTTGAATCTTTAAGGGGGTTATTCTGAAGCTGTCATCACAGGGTTAACAAGAATTCTGGACAGAAATATAGTTACAAGTATGCATTAGTCAGGCTGCAATTTGATTCACTTCCTTGTAACCAAAATCAAAGTCACTAGATATCGACCATTTGCATGTCCATTGTTCTTCTAGGTAGGATATCTGAAGTTAGAATCATAAGACTTTTAAGAATCCTGAATTCCAGCAGAACAGCTGATGCCAACCCGAAAACCCCACATGAGAACTAAATCAGCATGAGAATGCAGTTTCTTCTTCTCCCTGTCTCATGACTGCACCCTGCACTCTTCAACTAATCAACAATCTCCACACATCAGTCCACTCCAAAACCTTTAAAAACCCTACCCTCAAACTCCTCGAGAAGACGGCCTTCAGGTTTCCTCCTGTCTCTTTGTTTGGCGGCCCTACAATTAAACCTCCTTCTCTGCTGCAACCTGATGTCTTGGTGTATTGATTTGTCTTGTGCATAGGGCAATGGGCAATGAACCTTTTGAGGCTATAATTCCACTAAGTCATCCACCTCTCTGGAATAAAAAATAAAATGACCTCAATATTCTAAAGATGTAAAACAAGCCTATAAAAAAATCCTGCACAGCCTCCAGAGAAGACAAATTCTCAAATTCCCTCTTTAAGTGAAGACAAGAAGGATAATAGAAAGTTAAAGAACTCCCAAAGGTCAATCCCATGGATGATGGAGAACAAGGTACAGAACTGGATTGCTAATCCTAGGAAGTGAAATTAGGGTCTAATCAAGGAATACACTTCCAGTGTAAAAGCACCTCATAAATTCCACACAGCTGGATTTCAGAATTGCTGTTGACCAATGACCATTATATCTCCTGTTCTTCCCATGTCAAAATGGTCACTGTGGTTGTCTTGTGTCTGCTTCACTATGTAATATTTGGTAGGGGAAAGGGGATCATTGACACTTAGGTCAATAGGAATCACATCCAGACTTCATTTAGAGACTATCACATTACCTAGATTCACGGATTTTAGTTAGATACTAAGATTGCTTGGGACTTTGTGTTCCCCCCGCCTGGGGAAACAGGAGAAACAGGAGAAGTAAACAGTTACACCTTATGGAACATCTTCTCCATTAATATTTTCTTAATAGAGCATTTTTCTGCTTTTTCTATCCAAACTTAGTAGAACTTACATATTTCTCAATGTAAATATTTTGACCAATATTTATCTAAAAAAATTTCAAAAACTCAACAGCAATATTTTAGCAAAACCGGTATATGTGAAAGTCTCAGGTTGCATAACAAATACATTTGACAGAACTTCTAAATCATATGCAGATATCTTGAAAACTTGCAGAGTATCAACAAAAGAAATACCATTCTTATATGAAGCACATCACAGTGTCATTGTCAGTTAAAATATTCTCTGTGACTTTGTACTTGTGTTGAACATCTTGCCACATTACTTTTTATATTTCTATAGTACTTGTCTAAAATAGTAAAACAAGTCCTCCAAACAATAAAGAAATTTGTATAAAAATTATTGAGAAAAGCTGTATCAATGGAAGAAAACTTACTGAATGCAAAAGAACTGCTTGTTAACAACCGTATTGTTTGGTAGTTAAGAACCAAAGATGTAAGCAATTTATATACTTAGGCAATAGTTCATAATGTGTATTCTTTAATGCATTTTAAAAAGTAATATATTGGTTGTAAATATTTGACTGATGTGTAACTCATTAGGAATATTTTTCATTTAAATTATTAAGAAATAGGCTACTTGTTAGTATTTTCACACATAAACCTCTAATTCGCAGGAATAAATTACTGTGATTAATGGGAGACCCCTGTAAAAAAGAGGATCAACCAAGTTTTTGGTGACAATGAAGACAGATGTGACCATTATTTGTGCTGTTGAAAAATATCCTCATTCTCCAGCCCACCTTCTGGACACAAGGTAGTTGCACTTCCTGAATTCTGTCTGGAGGATGGGGCTGGGTGGTGAGTTTCAGTCCGTGAGGTGGGGTGGAAGAATGCATATCATTTCTGGACCAAAGTACTTAATCCACTATGATATCCTCCAGTGTGTTATTTCCTCCAGCTACTGTGAAAAGTAATATTAGCTTTGGTCCTTGAATGAGGATGGCATATACACCAGATGGGCTATAATGGACACCTAACATGAATGGAAAAAAAAAAAAAAATCCTGTGTTGTTTTCCCTCTGTGGGGCAAGTGGGAGGTGAGTTTTACTTGAAAAATCTAGTCTGATCTCTGTTTCTCTACAACTTCATTATGACTGAACAAGCACAAATACTGTCATCTCTACTCTGATTTACTATAAAAGACTTGTAATTGATTTTTCTCTTTCATGTTCATAATCTGCAAGTCTTCTTTCCATAGAGGGAGAATAAATTTTTTTAACATGCAAATAAGATTGTGTCAGCAGTTCTAATGTGCCTATGGATAATTCGAGTAGAGTATAAGTAAAATTTACTAGTAGGTGTTCCAGGAACTGTGAGGCCAAATTTTAGAAAGTCCATTATTATGGATGTTAGAGTTCCCAAGCATAAAAGAGAATAATGAATGGAAAGAAAGGTTATAATTCAGTTAGTGGCTAAAGTCACTGAATATGTACAATGTGGCAGACACTCTTTAGTTCTCACATCACTCTAATTCTCTTACAACTTCTCCTACTTTATATATGAGGAAATTTAATGACAGAAAGATTATGGTAAACAATATGTCTTAGGTAACACAATTGTTAACGTAATAGAAGTGGGATTCAAACTTGCCACAGAGCCTAACACTTAACTGCCAAAAACCAAAAAAAAATCCTGAAAGTTCTATGGACAGAACCAATAAAAAGTAGGCAAAATGAGCTCATGAGGAGTTTATGAAAGTGCCTGTTACAATGCTGAATGCAAAGCAACTGCATGCTTTGTACTTATATTCTTATCTGGATGCTTTATAGGTACCAGATTTTCTCTGCTCGTTCATCAGTAGACAGATGAATGTTCCTGATTTCCACTTGACAAGTTAATGCATTTTGGAAGTGTAAATACTCAAATAAAATTCAAAATCAATGTCTAATAAAATTTTTCTGAGCCTGGACTCCACCACTAGACAACGTATGCATGTAAGAAATCCGCACTTATACTCACTAACTCTATAAAGACAAAAATACAAATTTTCTTCTTTTTCCTATAGTATAAAGAGCTCCCTTGGTGCGGGTGAGCATGTTATTATTCATGCTCTATCATATTCCAAATTTCATTTTATGCTACAGGTTAGCATATCAATTACTATCCTCATTTTCCATTGAAAGGTCAGCGTTGCTGTTTGTGTGGTTTTTGAGCAGAAGAAATATGCATTCTGAACAGTGTTATAAATGTATTAGTTATTCCTTAATAACTTATTATGCTACTTGGATGACTATAAGAATGTAATATATACCACTAGGTAAGTTATATTTTCTCAAGTAGAAACAAAGAATTGAAAAACTAGAAGATTATCTTATGATACCTAGTTTAACTTCCATGTTCCATAGGTGAAGAAATTGAGTCCCAAGTAAGTTAAATAACTTTCCCTGAATTTCAGAGGATACTAGTAAATAGGGATAAATTGAGGACCATAACTGAGGGCCCTTGAATCTGTGTTCCATGTAGCTTATGTAATTAATAAAATAAAAGCCTCAATGTTACACAGCAAATATGTCTATCTACAGAAATTTATTAAATAGTATTTTTAATAGTAAATGAGAAGTCAAAAAGGTTGGCTCATATAAAGATACTATATAAAGTATTTTTCTTGCTACCACAACGTAATCATTGCATTGTTAGGGTTGTGTTTTCTCTGAACTATCCATCATAAGATTTATTTTTTGACTTTTGTATATCTAATGCTTTCTCACTTAGATCTTCTAGTAATTCACATCTGAGTTCACTTTGCTCTCACCACTTTTCTAAGCAGGGTTAGGCTACAATGGTAACACTTTACCTTCTTGCAGTGTGCTATATTTCATTTTGTAATTATATGAAAAGACATTGTAAAAAAGAGGAAAGAAAAGCTCAATGTATTTTACAGAATGCATTTTGTGCCAAGTCTGAAGTACCACATACTTGTGAATACCAGAGAGTTTTCAAAGCATTTTCATTTTATTTCACATTATTTCATTTAATTCTCCCACTAATCTGTAGAGGTAGGCGAAGTAGGTTTTAATGTCTCTGTTTTATAGATGAGAAAACTTGTCATTGGAAGGATAAGTGACTTGCCCAAGTTCACACTGGTATTAAGTGGTGAAGCTGTCCATTATTCAGTGCTTCTCCCTCTACAGTTTACTGAGATAATCAGTGTTGCTTAATAGTAGCTGCCTAGAATACATCTACTATAATTATGAAATACCTACCCTCAAAGCCACAAACTGGCCCTTTTCCAATTTCTCACACTTTTATAGAGCAGAGGTCAGCAAACTAAAGCCCACAGATCAAATTGGAGTCCTTCCTACTTTTGTAAATAAAGTTTATTAAAACACAACCACAGTCATTCATTTACATATTGTCTATGGCTGTTTTCCCGCTGCAATGGCAAAGGTAAGTAGTTGGGAGAAAGGTCACATGGTCCCAAAGTCTTCAGTGCTCTTCGGCCTTTGCCTTGAATGTGTGCTGACCCCTGCTAGAGAATATGAAAAGCTAAAGTATACTTCCAGACTCTTGCAGCTATTCTTTCAGAAACTACAGAAATCTCTAAGTAATCTTTCCAGGAAATGTTTTTAAAATAAACAGACTTGACTGGCTTGGCTCTTCTTTTCTTTGTCCCTTTCCTATATTTGCTTCTTCCAACCTGTATTGTGAACAACACCTGGGATTGCAGTCATTACTTAGTATACATGAAGAGACAAACATATGGACAAATGAGGACGGATAGAAAGAAAACAGAGTTAGGGTGCCTAACTACATTTCTGAGCAACTTCTTCAGCCCTGGACTTCGTGGATCTATAAAGGATTCTCTACATATGAAATACACTGTTAGTAGTGTTACTTGATTATAATTTAAAAAAATTATAATGGATGCATTCAAATGTCCTGTCATTTACTGAGTCATAACAATAGTGTTAGCTTCCATGTTAAGGCCACTAAATATTGAATCACTTTAGGATTCAGCATTTTACTCCTTTATCTACACCCACTCCCTTAGCGATCTTATATAACCTCATGAATATACAGTGTTTATGTGATGATTAATCTTAATTCTATCACAAGGCCAGTCATCTATTCAGCTAGCTACTCGGCAACTCTACATGGAAGTTTATCCATATTTCAAACTTGACTTCTGCAAAACCTGATCCTCTTGAAGATTTCCCCATTCCAGTTAATAGCAATTTAATGTTTCAATGCTTGTGCCAACAACTGTGGAGTCATCCTTGATTTCTCTCTGTCATCTACATTCCATATTTTTAGCAAATCTAGTCGTAACCCCATCAAAATATTTCCTGAGGCCCTGCAAGCTGAAGCTTAGTCCTTGTTATACAGGTGAGAAGAATATGTCAGATTGCCAGTGCCTTCCTCTTCTATAACTAAAAGTTCTTTGAGTCTAACATCTGGATAAATTGTGCCCAACATTAAACTTCATTTTTCTTCTGTCTCTATAGAAATGCCTCTTATTAAAAATCAATTTGCCTTCATCACAGACAGAAGCCTAGACCACCTGAGATGCCATCTCCTCATATTGGAAACAGCTGTTTAACTGAACTGATCTAGTTTCAGGACTAGTCTGCAGTTCATTTAAGTGCTGTGCTAAAACTGTTGGTAAGGTTATCAACATCTTTGTCACATAAGCCTAGGAACACTAACTGGGAACCCCATGAGTAGATGCAGATAACTGCAAAGTGGTTTTATTTTTATTTCCCTTGTGCATAACCCACCTCAACCCCACAACTATGCCTCTTGTCAACAGGAAGAAGCTAGAGTGACCATCAGCCTTTTCCCATCTCTATAGCCAACACCTTAAGAGTAAGGTGCTATGGAGCCCAAAGCAGGGTTTAAAACTACCTTTGCAAATTATATCAGGGAGAAAATTATGACAGTAAAAGAGATCTGATTTAACCACCCCGCCCCATCTTGCCTTTCCCTTCAACATTCCTGAGCTTAGGCTAAGCTAACTTTGAGAGACATTTAGTTTATATGACTTTTATCTTATTTTGTTATTTTTATAGAGATGAGGTCTCCCTATATTGCCCAGGCTTGTATCAAACTCCTGGATTCAAGCAATCCTCCCACCTTGGCCTCCCAAAGTACAAGGATTACAGGCACGAGCCACAGCACCCATTCAATATAAAATTTAGTTTTAAATGATAATAGGCCTCCCCCAAAACTCAACCACCTTTGTAAATCTAATGAAACATTATCAGGCTAGGGGGAAGAGCTAAGGTGTGGTCTGATCACAAGATATGCAACATCACTATAGTATATTGCCCTTTTGAGATATTTGTTCAGGTTTTTTGCCTGTCTGACACCTGGACCTGATTGCTCCTATGGCTCCACATGGAAGCAACTCCGCTTAAGAGGATAGCTGTGCCCTCCTACAATTTCATCTCTGCCTGAACCAATCAGCAGCAAGTACCCATTACCTGGCCACCCCATCCCTTCCCTCAAACTGTCTTTGAAAAACTGCTAACCTAAAAGCCTGAGATGAGATTGATTTGAGTAACAACCCCATCTTCTGTGTAGTGTGGCAGGCCTTGTGTCAATTAAACTTTTCTTCAGTGCAATGCCATGGTCTTTATTTATGCAGCGGGCAGGAAGAACTGATCAAGCAATTATCCTTCTACTCTTGTCTTATTTGGCCTATTCTCTATACCTCAGTCAGAATGACCCAGTAAAACTGAAAAGAAGACAAGGTCATTTCTCTGCGCAAAATTTTTCAATGATTTGCTGTCTTTCTTAAACAGAAGCGAAAATCTTTGACAACAACCTACAAAATGTTTTGCAGTCAGTCCCACTTCCTCCCCAACCCTACCTTGTTATTTCCATGACCTCAATTCATATTATAGCCTCTTTCATTCATTGTCCTCTGGCTACACTTTTTTGCTTGCTTGTCTTCCTGAACATGCCAAGCATTCTCCTGCCTGGAAGTCTACTCTGGTTATTCTTTGTTTGCATTGCTCTTCAACCAACTAGCTACATGGATATCTCTTCTCTTGCAAATTTCTGCTCAAATTTGATTACCTCAGTGAGCTCTTCCTTGACTATTCTGTATAAAACAGCCAACAATTAACCACTTCCCTTAAGATGACAGCAAGAATGAGGAAAATAAAAATAAAAATAAATAAAAGCATAAAAGATTATCCACTTCTCTTTCCCATTAGTACTTCCTATATTCTCTAATCTTCCATTCTTTATTTCTATCATTAATGTTTTATTATGATATATAATTTATGTACTATAATATACACTACTCTTAAGTATTTGCTTTTTCTCCTTAACTCATGTCTTCTATGACACTATATACTTTACTTTTATTTATTTAGTTATTTATTTTTTGAGGCAGGATCTCAATTCTGTCACCCAGGCTGCAGTGCAGTGGTGTCATCACAGCTCATCAATGCAGCCTCAACCTCCCAGCCTCAAGCAATCCTCCCACCTCAGCCTCCTGAATAGCTGGGACTACCAGTTTACACCACCACAGTTGGATATGTTGTTTTTTTAAAAAATTTTGTAGCGATGGCATCCCCCTATGTTGTGCAGGCTGGTCTTTAAGTCCTGGGCTTAAGCGATCCTCCACCTCTGCGTCTAAGATTAAAGGCTAAGCTTAAAGGCATGAGCCAACACACTTGGTCACATTTATTTATTATTTACTATATGTCTTCCTGAATTTAATTTAAAAACGATAAAGGCAGAAATTTTGTTTGTTTTATTTGTAGAGAACCCACAGATTTTTTAGTAAGTTTCTGGTGAATAATTTAATATGCATTTTCTCATTTAATCCTCACATTAATGAGTTATTTCCTCCACAGAAAAAAGGAAAAAACTCAAATTTATTATATTTAAAATAATTGGCATTGGTCACATTGCTAGTAACTAGTGATGGAAGTGACGACCAGTGTGGAGCAGCTGCTGCAAGGATGCTGGTTGCACAGCATGAGACATGGACAGGGTTGCATGTTCTGCAGAGCTGGTGGGAGCCAGGAGCAGGCGAGAGCCCAGACCCCTACTTAGTTGATGAGGCAGAAGCCCGTGCTCCCTGGCACAGCTGCAGCCACCCAGCTGTGGCGCTGGACTCTAGCATCACTGCACTCTTGGGGGCCCAGGAAGCTACTTGCCATAGCAGGCTTGAAAGTACCTGCTCCTGCTCCCTGGCCTCTCCCCACTTCCAGCACCCACTCTGGCATGGAGCAAAGTTGTAACCAAGCCTGGGCACTGTTGCAACTCTAACAAGTGTGCGGGCACTCGGGACAGGGCTGACACACCAGCTCCCTGCTGCCTCAGCCTCCTCCAGACTTCGGGCACCAACAAGCACAGGAGGGAGGCTGGCGGGCGTGGTGAGTGGTGAGAGCAGCTCAGCATGGGCCTGCAGCACCCCTCAACACAAACAGCCTGGGCACTGTGGACAGCATGTTGATGGTGGCAAGAAGCAGACAGGCCCTCGGGTGGAAAGGGGTGCATCCCAGGTGAAACCCCACCTTCAAGGCAGGGATGGCCTGAAGCCTGGGGGCCGGGTTGTCAGTTCCAGCTGGAGTCCACTACCCAGAGTGAGAACTTACGGTGCTTTTTTCGGGCCTGCCAATGACAGCCCATGGACAAATAAGCGCATATTTCCTCCCTTCTGAGCCCACTGAAACCCTGGACTCAGCCAGACTCAGACATATGTCAGGACTACCAGCTGTGGGAAGGAACTACCCACTTCAGGTCTCCTGGAGTGATAAGGATGACCTGTCTGCAGAAAGGAGCGATCCACTAGGGGTCTCCTCTGAGCTGTTCTGTTGCTCAGTAAAGCTCCTCTCCACCTTGCTCACCCTCCAGTTGTCCGCATACCTCATTTTTTTAAGAGGCAGGACAAGAAGTCAAGACCAACTGAATGGTGGGAATGAAAGAGCTGTAACACAAACAGGGCTGAAACTCCCCCCGATCGCCATGCTGTGGGCGATGAAAAGGAGAGAAGAGCTGAAGAGGCCCTTTGGGGACGCCAGACCTAGGGGCTCCCCGAGCCAGGGCCGTGACACCCTCTTTGGGGCTCTGTGGTTCCTGGCGTCTCGAAGCTTCTGGGTGCCACCGCAGTCCCCTCATCCAGACACAGGTGCCCACAGTGGAAGCTGCTTGTGGTACATCTGATCCAGCCACAGCCTTACACAGAGCCCGCACCTGTGCCGGTGCCTGGAGCTGCCCACCGCGCTGCAGCAGCCAGCATGCCTGGCTGTGCGCAGTGGGTGGACCCCACGCTCACTTTCTCACATATCCCTTGCCACTCCATGCCTGGCTTACCCTTGGCCGGCGTGGGATCCTAGCCGGTGGTGCAAGCCAAGCACAGCCTGGCAGGCTGACTGGGCAGAACGAGCCAGTGGGCCCAAGCAAAACTCAGGCAAACGTGCCACTGGCCACAGAGGTTTCCAGCTGGAAAAGCAACACCCTAAGGAACTCAAGACAGCAGTGTTGCCAAGATTTTAATTTAGAAATTGTGAAGTCACACAATACCCTCTTAATTACCATGCTCTATATTCTCCTAGCTGCTCTGTAGAAAAAAGTTCAGACAAAACAAATAGTAACATGATTGAAATGGAGATTGGCAGGATACTAGAACAAGCAGATATCAAGCTACTTCAGAACAATATCCTCTTAGTTGCCAAATCTAAGAGAAAAAGTAAATAAGCTCATAATAAAATACAGAGAACAAAAAACCTGAGAATGTATGATTAAGATAATATCAATATGAGAAAATACTACATTTAAAACTAGTTGTCAGTGGAAGGAGGAGTAGAGAAAGGAAGAGAATAGAACTCTATTAAGTCAAGTTTCAGGAAGAATTTTCCAGTCTGAATAAATAAGATAAGTTATTAGGGAAGTAATAAAGGGTCACTTCTAGAAGAATAAAAACCTGTATATGTTTATCCATTAACTCAAAAAAAAATTATTCAATCCTTTCATCTTGAAAGAGAAAGAGATGCATTTAATAATGGATTATTTAAATGCATCTCTTTCTCTTTCCAAGGCCCAAATAATGTTATCACAAAGTAACACCAACAATGTGAAAACCCATAGAATTGTGACTACAAAAATTGAGATATTTCAGCACACTTTTAGCGGATCTAAAGTGAATTTAAGAGGTAGGAACCATTTAGTAGAGCCAAAAACGATAAAACCTGAAATTCTCTAGAGTAGGATGTTAATGAATGGTGAAAGATTCTGAATAAGGAAGCAAAAATTGCCATGGAAAGCAGGGAATGAGGCAAGATTATAAAAACACAGAACCTGTTTTTTCCTCAGGACTCTTATCCTTACCTCAAGTACACAGGTTCCGTTGCTGTTTGAGATCAGTGTTTTATTTGCTAAATAAATATGGAGCAGAGGATCCAGACTTGACTCCCCAGGTGTAAGAGAAGAGTGAGGCACAAAGCTGGAAAAAAAGAAATAAGAAAAATTATTTTATCTTTCAGTTTCTTCTCATCATCCCTAAGCTCTCCCACATCTTATGGAGGGATATAATCCCCTCCTTTCAGATTAGCCAGTATCCTGCCTTTAGCTATAGTCCTACATTTATTGTCTGTGTAATTACTGAGAGAAATAAGATGGTAATTAACTTTCAAAATGGGCAGTATACCTGTAACAAAGTCTTTGAAAGCAACTGACATACAAAAATTCTACAAATAAAAGTAAGTGTAAGCTCAAATAATACAATAGTACATTATTTATAGAATAATGCTTTTCCCATTCCATTGTATTTTAAACCTATGAACCCAAATGCCATACTGGAAAGAAATGTTAGGGAAATGTCAGCAGTAATTCAGTGGGTCCATGAAAGGGCTTCAACTTGGCAGGAAACCTCTAAAATTATATGCAGGATCATATTTGTATTTTCATAGTGATGGTTTTCATGAGAGTATCTCTAAATGAATTTCAAAAATAATTCTTTCATTAAAAAGAGTTTTTTTTTTCCTTTAGGAAACTTTTTAATACATAGGCTATCCGTGAAATATGTATATGTCTTCAGTTGCTGTTGAAAGCAAAATCAGCTACTCCTCTGTCTGAAAAGTATTTTACTTCATCTTCATTCTTGAAGGGTATTTTCAAGGCATATAGAATTCAAGGTTGGGAGTTTTGCTGTTATTGTTCTTTCTGTGTTGTTCTGGGTTTTTATTTGGCATGTTGAGAATATCATTTTACTGTTTTCTGACTTTTATTGCTGCTAT